>NC_000006.12:158404123-158555638 GCF_000001405.40 Homo sapiens | reverse complement strand
AATAGACAAATTACATCATGAAACATTCAGAACTCAAATGATCATTATCTGAATTCTCTAAAAACACCTCTGAAACTATACAGTTAGCATGTAGAGTCTTCTAAATTCTCTATCTCTATTTTTTTCTGCTTACTTTAAATCTGCTGACTTTTCTACTGGAGTTGAGATAAAACTCACTGCTTATGGCATTCCAGCCAAGATTTTTTAAACCAAAACCAACAACCTAGGCCTAAGGATCATCTCTTTTAAGGTTAATTTAGTTTTGCCTGACTAATAATTGTTTGGGGTAATGGAAGTTAGTTGAAGGATTGATAAAGAAAAAATTAGATAAATCTTCATAAAAGGCTCACAGATCAAACAAGTCAAAATCTTGAGCTCAGAGCAATAATATAAGGTGTCTCTGTCTGGCATAAAATTGCTTTTTCTGCCACACAGGGGCCAAAAAGAAAAAGCCAAACAAACACAGGAAGGAAACCCTGCTAACATTCTTCCCTGTTCACATTAACCAAGCAAACCAGATGGGCAAACAAAAGATACATTTGTTACTAGTTCAAGGCTCTTTGGAGAGTTTGTTTTCCTTATATAATTCAGCCAGTCCTAGCTAAAATGTAAACATTGAAAATGTAACCCTAAACTCATTTAAAGCTGAAAAAAGCAAAAGAGTGGGAGTAAAAGAGATTTTTAAAAACCAAACTGCTTTGTCCAAAATCTTCGCCCACCATCTTCATTAGATTACCTATCGGGGCAAATAAAGTTCAGACATGTGAACAGGTTTCAACTTTGTCAATAATACAATTTGGATCCAGCTGTGTTTTATTATCTTTTACTGTCTCATGACTAACATTCTAAAATGAAAGCTGTAAGATATTTCTGTGTGTGGATATTTGTTTCGGTGCATTTACACATGTACGTGTATTATGTTTTATGTTGTGTCTTCATGGTAAGATCTAGCATGGACCCTTAAATTCTATTCAGATTGGTTTAAATGAGCTTTCATATAAAATATAGTAAGTCCTGACTTAATGTTGTGAATAGGTTGTTGGAAACTGTGACTTTGAGCAAAACAATGTATAATGAAGCCAATTTTTTTCCTCATCAATGTTAAAATGAAACAGCATTGGCCAGGCGAAGTGGCTCACGCCTATAATCCTAGCACTTTGGGAGGCTGAGGCAGGTGGATCACCTGCGGTCAGGAGTTCGAGACCAGCCTGGCCAACATGGCAAAATCCCATCTCTACTAAAACTACAAAAATGGCCAGGCGCGGTGGCTCACGCCTGTAATCCCAGCACTTTGGGAGGCCAAGGTGAGCGGACTGCCTGAGGTCAAGAGTTCGAGATCAGCCTGACCGACATGGTGAAACCTCGTCTCTACTAAAAATACAAAAATTAGCCGGGCGTGGTGGCAGGCGCCTGTAATCCCAGCTGCTCGGGAGGCTGAGGCAGGAGAATCACTTGAACCTGGGAGGTGGAGGTTGCAGTGAGCCAAGACCGGGCCATTGTACTCCAGCCTGGGCAACAAAAGCGAAACTCCATCTCAAAAAATAAAATAAAATAAAATAAAAAAATTAGCCAGGCGTGGTGGCTGGCACCTGTAATCCCAGCTACTCGGGAGGATGAGGCAGGAGAATCACTTTAACCCGGGAGGTGGGGGTTCTGGCGAGCTGAGATGGTGCCATTACGCTCCAGCCTGGGCAACAGAGCAAAACTCCGTCTCAAAAAAAAAATAAAAATAATGAAACAGCATTGAACAAAGTGACATCATTTGAGGACCTGTTGGACGTTGTTTCACCCAGTCACAGTTTCCAAGAACCTACTAATGACATTAAGTGCCAACTTGCTCTCTATATTAATTAACCCGAATGCGTTTTAGTTCATGTGACTTAAGAATGTCTTTAATAAATAAACTAGCTTTTAAATTGTTGAAAAAAATAAAAATGTCTGCACAATTGCCAACATATTAATATACTGTTGCATGGGTTTTGTGGCAGACAGTTTTATATTGGTCTTCATTAGATGTTTTAAGGTATTAGGGTTTAGCACAAAGATTATAAAACTATAAACACAGCCTAAAATAAAATGATTTTTTGTACAACTCTTTGATAAGTAAGACTAATTTAATATTGTTGGTTTAATAAAAATAGCTGTATCTTCTGAGTTATTGACAAAATAACCATATATTTAAGGTTCTTAGGTGAACACCTGATATGCACAGGCTATAAAAATGGTTAACAGAGAAATAACTGATGACTAGCTTTGTCTAATATCTCAGTTTTAATAAGTAATCTAGGTATAATTGTTAAAAATAAATAAATTTTGTAAATGTAAATGGTATATGTGTTTATAAATAAGCTTTTTATGTAATTTAAAATCTTAAAGTTTTATGGTATGTTAAATTAAACAACAGATATTCATTAAATGTCTGGTTCATTTCCCAATTTTTTTTTTTTTCGGAGACAGGGACCCCTCTCTGTCGCCCAGGCTGGAGTGCAATGGCACAATCACAACTCATAGCAGCTTCGACCTCTCAGGCTCAAACAATCCTCCTGCCTCAGCCACCCATGTAACTGGAACCACAGGCACACACCACCACACCCGGCTAATTTTTTAATTGTTTTGCAGGACTGGGGTCTCACCATGTTGCCCAGGCTGGTCTCAAACTAGGCTCAAGTGATCCTCCCGCATCAGCCTCCGAAAGTGCTGGGATGACAGGCATGAGCCCCTGTGCCTGGCTGACAGTTTCTATTTCTGCCACATTTTTTCCTGAAAGCCACTTAATTTCTCTAGTTTCAAGACAGAAATGTTTTTTCATTCCGAATGGTAATTTCACTTCTTGAGGTAGAGTTTTCATTTTAAAGCTTCTCAGGTTCATCTCTCAGAAGCTCAACTTTGTTTCCATCTCACAGCCCATGACTGGCAGGTCACACATAACTGCCTACAGCTCTTTCTTCCCTGATAAGGCTGAGACGATAACTCTCTCCTTCAACCTTTTTATCAGCTCCTGTAACTTTTCCCTTCAGTTCTAACTCTGCTCTTATGGCCCAATGCTAAAATGTTTATCTTGAAGACCTGAAGCAGCAATCTTTTCCTCCAGTGTAACTTGATTCTGTACTCTTGGCTTTTCTTGATGTGTCTGAATTGTTCTATGTAACAAGGAAACTTCACAGGCTCTCACGTTCTCTAAGATCCATGTATTCCTCGCTCAATGTATTAGTTTTCTTGTGTATATTCCTCTGTGATATAGTGTATACTCAAAATCTTGAACACATTCTTCCTGCTTCTGATTAAATGTAAGTACCTTTCATCAGGTTCAACTTCCAAGATATCTAAGTGGGCTTCCCATAAGGAAAAGCAATCACACTGCAGGAGGTGCAATCACACTGCAGGAGGTTTTTCTTCACCTTTTGGTAACTGGCCTAAAAAAAACAAAGGATTTATATTTTATTAGGATAACTTCCTGTGTTATCTCAATTCGATTTTTGATTACTCAGGAAAACTGAACTTTAAAAGGGTTAAGCTTTTTAAATTTCGCATGCCTTTCTGTATTGCTTTTAAAATCTTTCGATTACCACTCTGCTTAAATAACTATTATTTCACGGTGAGCTGTGATCCTGTCTTGAGCAAGGACTGTAAACTTTTTGACATCTTTGGCAGGCCTCCCCAGGATCAAAATTCTAAATTAAATCTTTTGACCTAAAATTAACTTGGGAATTTACCAGTTAGGCCCCTGGAGAGCATAAAAACTGTATCTGTCATATCATCTCATAGTGATAGGAAATGATTAGGCTTACTTGCTCCATAGGAAACTTTGTCAGGTGATCAGTGATAGCAGCTCTTCTTTCAATTACATTTATGGATATGTTATCAATACAAATGTTTCAAAAATTAGATAATACATTATCAATCATATTTTACGTGTTATGTTAAATCTACTTTAAAGCTATATTTTTAGAGATATGTTATTGATGTATCTTAAAGATTATGTAAAATTTGTAAAAGTCGAATGGTCCTGATGTGATGCTGTCAGTCATGATTCTGGTTGCCATCTTAAAACATTGTGTGTAATAGAAATAACTACATTTCCTTGGCAATTCCCGATTATAATAAATGTTTGTCAGGTTCTTAACCCTGGCTATCCTGTGTTTTGTCATCCACAGTTATTGTTTTGATTTGTCCCTTAAAACATTTACAATTAGCTATACTCCAAAATGGCTTTTCATGGAAAAGACCCTAACAAGTACTCTTGAACACATTTCTAGTAACTGTAGGACCAGTGGATTAAATAAAATTCCCACAACTCTAATAAATAAACTGACAGGTTTATGAAACTGCTAATTCAGATCAAGCAGAACAAAAATTAATTGCATAAAATTAAATAATTGAGCCGGGCACAGTGGTTCACACCTGTAATCCCAGCACTTTGGGAGGCCGAGGCAGGCGGATCACGAGGTCAGGAGATTGAGACCCTTCTGGCCAACATGGTGAAACCCCGTCTCTACTAAAAACACAAAAAAATTAGCTGGATGTGGTGGTGCATGCCTGCAGTCCCAGCTACTCGGGAGGCTGAGGCAGGAGAATCACTTGAACCAGGAGTTGGAATTTGCAGTGAGCCGAGATTGCACCACTGCACTCCAGCTTGGCAACAGAGAGAAACTCTGTCTAAAAAAAAAAAAAAGGAATTGATAAAGATAATGTTTGTATGATTTTTATTTAAAACATTATTGGTTCTTTTTTTTTTTTTTTTTTTTTCCTGAGACAGAGTCTCACTCTCACCCAGGCTGGAGTGCTATAATACACTATAAAAACTATAAATGGTAGCTCTGTGCATTAGCTTCAAGTTCTAGTTATTTGCCTGTAGACTAGGCTAGGTCCTGAATTCTTCTAGATTTCTCCAATCCAACTTTGTTCCATGAAATTACTAAAATTGGGGACTACTCTGTTCCTAAGACCTGTAAAATGAAACTACGTATTTTTTTTTCTTTTTTTTGAGACGGAGTCTCACTCTATCACGAGGCTAGAGTGCAGTGGCGCCATCTCGGCTCATTGCAACCTCCACCTCCCAAGTTCAAGCAATTATCTTGCCTCAGCCTCCCGAGTAGCTGAGACTACAGGTAAGCGACACCACGCCCAGCTAATTTTTCTATTTTCAGTAGAGATGGGGCTTCACCATGTTGGTCAGGATGGTCTCGATCTCTTGACCTTGTGATCCGCCAGCCACGGCCTCCCAAAGTGCTGGGATTACAGGCATGAGCCACCGCGCCCGGCTGAAACTAGATACATTTTAAGAAACAAGTCTCGGCCGGGCGTGGTGGCTCACGCCTGTGATCTCAGCACTTTGGGAGGCCATGGCGGGCAGATCACCTGAGGTCAGGAGTTCGAGACCAGCCTGACCAACATGGTGAAACCCTGTCTCTTAGCCTCACAGCCAGTCCCTTCAAAGCTCCCTTGTTGCCCAAATGTGGCTGAAAGGGTTTTGACACTGACTCCTGGCCACTATTCACGCCCTCCAACATGGGACCAGACCAGCAACCCAAGACAGGTCCATCCAAGCACGGAGGGACATCAAAACCTAACTACAGGATGATTGATCAGTGATGCTTTTGGAGAAAGATCTTGATCAAAAGAGGGAATGGGAAAATTATCAGAATCAAAGTGGAGTCACTTGTGTTAAAAAAAAAAAAAAAAAAAAGTCCTGACAAATAGGTTGGGGAAGGCCATGAAGAGGAGTCTTATGCACTTACGCATAAATGCCTAGTAACAAAAACTATCACAAAAGACTCTACAAAAACCACAACGTTGCATAAAGGCCGTCACCACCTTACATACAAAAAATACTCCTGCAACAACACCTGCCCAGCCACTGCCAGTCCAACCTCAAATTGGCATCACCCTTGTTATTGATCCTTGTAGCCAAAAATAATTATCTCAAAGCAATTATGTAATCCTCTTCATTTTTCCTTTAAAAACCTTTGTCTTCCTTTACCGCCCTGACTACGCACAGAGCTTACTGTGGAATGCCTATTCCCACTGCAATGCTTTGCTCCCAAATAAATATTATTTTTGAGAGCCGCTCTCTTGTTTGTTATTTAGGCTGACACCACCATAGTCTTGAAGTCTGTAAACAACCATGTTTGCATTCTCTCCTTTCTTCATTTCCAAAGGTGAGATAATCATGCACAGAACATTCTGAATCACTTGAAAGTCTACTACTATATGTTAAGAAGTGTAGGCCAGGCACAGTGGCTCACACCTGTGATCCCAGTACTTTGGGAGGCCAAGGCGGGTGGATCACGACGTCAGGAGTTCGAGACCAGCCTGGCCAATATGGTGAAACCCCGTCTCTACTAAAAATACAAAAATCAGCCGGGCATAGTGGCGCACCTGTAGTCCCAGCTACTCAGGAGGCTGAGGCAGAAGAATTGCTTGAACCCGGGAGGCGGAGGTTGCAGTGAGCCGTGATCGCGCCACTGGGCTCCAGCCTGGGCAACAGAGAGAGACCCTGTCTCAAAAAAAAAAAAAAAAAAAAAAAAAGAAGTGTGCACATTTTCCCTCATTTTGTCCCCTTTGCCACCATTAAAGCAAATGCCCTATTTTCTGTGGCCCCTGCTGGTTTCTGGAATTTACAATAACAAAGCCTGGTGAGTAGAGCAGGCCCCTCCCTGCCTCTCTGGCACAGCAAGGCCATCACTCACAAGCCCCGGGTACTGACCAGGAAGGAGGCACCAGCCTCCCAACACCCTTCACCTTCTCTGCCTTGGGTGGTTTTTAAGTATCAGTCCCAAGCTATCAAACCGAAACACGTATTTTATTTTCAATGTTTGAGCAGCGCCTCTCCATCATTGTCTCCTATGACTTCACCGTGCAAGCCTTTATTCGTCCTCCTCTTTCCAGGACCTGGCACCCAGCCTGGTAGAGAAAGACACCAAGCCCCTGTGTGTTGAACAAATGACTGCCCTGGGCTTGCTGGCTGCCTCACAATAAGACACCCATTTCCTCATTGTTTAGAGAATGAGGACACCATCCCTTGGAACAAAGGAAGGGAGCTGGAGGGCCAGTGAGCGCAGGACTGGAGGTGGCAGCTGAGAGCATTCCTGCCACCTGGCCAGAGCAGCTGGCTGATTCTGGTTTGCCTGAGACTTTCCAAGTATGAGCACTGAAAGTCCCTGTCCTGAAGACGCCCTCAGTCCCAGACAAACCAGGATCGTTGGCCACCCTCCTTCTGGCCCATGTTTTTCTATGAGTTACCGGGCAAGATTATCTCAACATTTAAAGAATGTCTTAGCAGCTGGGTTCCCTCAAACACAGAACCTAGAGCAATAGTTTCCATGTCAATTTTACTGGGAGTGGTACAATCCCAGGGAAGGAAGGAGAGAGGATGGAGTCAGACAGGAGGTTGGAGAGTACGTTTCAGAGGGTGCACGTGGGCCAGAGCTTCGGGACAAACACGGCTGGTTTATTTCCAAACTACTGTGTTCGGAAACAATCTGTTAGCTCTGTCTAGTCACTGTCACCCTTGGCCAAAGTCTGACCTACACATCCAGGTGATGTTACCTGGCCCTCAAGCAGCCCTGGGGAGCCAGGCCTGTGGCTGCCAGTTCAGTCAGCGTGGGGCGAAGGAGCCCCCATGTCAGTCAGCACCAAAGCAGCTCTTTGGTCTGTGGGGTGGAAGGGGCAGAGGCTGGGAACTGCTTCTCTCCATGGCTTTCACCAACTTATTTGTCAGGACTCTTTTTTTTTTTTTTTTTTTTTTTTTTGAGACAGAGTTTTGCTCTTGTTGCCCAGGCCGGAGTGCAATGGCGTGATATCGACTCACCGCAACTTCTGGGGCCTGCACCAGGAGGTCAGGTCGGGAGGCAAGGCCAGGGACCAGTGGCCCGGGGGCAGGGTGGGAGACGGGAGGTGGATATGGGCAGGACCAAGGGGGCCTGGGGGGCCTGTCAACTAGATCCAGTGCAAAGAGGTGGAGAAGGTCTGGAATCGTTGTTACAAAGTCTGGAGAAATGAGCAGCCTGGGAAAAGCTAGCAGGATTTCAGGGCTTCGCTGAGGCCCCAGCTGAGGGGGGAGACCCTGTGTCAATGGTGACTTCCAAGAGCGCCTGCCTGGTGGCACTTTCCTCCTGCTGAATGGGTGGCGTAAGCATGAGAGTATTTGTACTGATCAGAGACTGGGAGCCCCAGGACAGATGAGACGAAAAGACAGAGAAGCAAACTAGTTTAAGACAGTGGGTCTCAGTATCTGCAGAAGCTAGAATCACCTGGGGAGCTTTAAAAAAAACCCAGTGCTCAGGCTAAACCCCAAACCAACTGAGGCAGATCTGAAGCAGGGCTTAGGCGTCTGTATTTCTGTATTTATTTATTTAGAGACAGGGTCTCACTCTGTTGCCCAGGCTGAAGTGCAGTGGCACAATCATGGTTCACTGCAGCCTCGAGTTCCCAGGCTCAGATAACCCTCCCACCTCAGCTTCCTAAGTAGCTGGGACTACAGGCACATGCCACCACGGCCAGCTAATTCCTGTGTTTTTTGTAGAGATGAAGCGTCGCCATGTTGGCCAGGCTGGTCTTGAACTCCTGATCTCAAGTGATCTGCCCACCTCAGCCTCCCAAAGTGCTGGGATTACAGGCGTGTGCCACTGCGCCCAGCTGGCATCAGTATTCTTTATTTGTTTGTTTGTTTTTGTTTTTGAGATGGAGTCTCGCTGTGTCGCCCAGGCTGGAGTGCAGTGGTGCAATCTCGGCTCACTGCAACCTCCACCTCCCGGGTTCAAATGATTCTCCGGCCTCAGCCTCACAAGCAGCTGGGACTACAGGCGCCCACCACCACGCCCTGCTAATTTTTGTATTTTTAGTAGAGATGGGGTTTCACACCATATTGGCCAGGCTGGTCTCGAACTCCTGACCCTTGTGATCCGCCCACCTGGGCCTCCCAAAGTGCTGGGATTACAGGTGTGCGCCATCGCGCCTGGCTGGCATCAGTATTTTTAAAGCTCCCTAAGGGATTCTAGTGTACAGTAAATTTGATAACCCACAGTTCAGGGCATTGGCAAGAGAGATCTAGAAGATGAACCCATGGAATCCATGCCACATCAGCTCCTTCCTGGGGTTCAGTTTCAGCTCCAACTCCTTCCTGGGGTTCAGTTTCAGCTCCAGCTCCTTCCTGGGGTTCAGTTCTATTTTTGCCCTTTGGTCTGTGAATGATCCCTGTATTCTCGTCATGTGTACCCTTTTTGGCTGAAACTAATACTTGCAACCAATGGTCTTAAATGCTGTAGTGCCATATCTTTATAAAGTGCCTATCAATGCCTCTAGCTGTCCCTGACATAGCTGCCAATGATGAGAACTACAGCAAAGTTCTAATATGTTCTCATTCCTACTGCAGCCTGAGGGGAGGGTATTTGGTTTTGCATTTCCGCTTGCAGAAGCTGAGGACAGTCTCCACTGGAAGAACACGGGTTCTGGAGCTCCCAGCTTGTCACCACGAGGCAGGAGCATGCTTGACCTTTCCAGATGGAATAGGAAGTAATCTCTGTCAGCCTGAATCCTAAACTGGGGGCTCTGTTCACCGAAGAGCATGGGTTTATACATCAGAAACACTGCCCCGGTCATGCCAGATAGATAAGCCAGGGAAACTGGTCATTATCTTCACTTACGAGCAAAACTCCGTCTTTAAGTCCTCACAAGACTTGAAGGCTGAAAGTCAACAGTAAACAACCAAGATTACTTTGCTGGATGTACTCCACCATGAACAAACACAGCGCAGAGGGCACTTTCCTAGCCATGGGGGTGTATTAAAAAGAATGGGAAGCCAGAGCTCCAGTTATTCAGGAGGCTGAGGTGGGAGAATCAGAATCACTTGAGCCCAGAAGTTCGAGACTGTAGTGCACCATGACTGCACTATGAGGAGCCACTGCACTCCAACCTGGGCAACGTAGTGAGACCCCATCTCTAAAAAACAAGACAACCACCACCAAAAAAAAAAAAACTAAAAAAGAATGGAAAGAGTGCAGCCATGCCCCCTTACAGCATGTTTCCAAGTTCTGTCCGGTTCCTTCATGCCCCAGAAGGCAGAGAAGGCAGGACAACGCCCACCCGCCACGTGCCCCTGCATCCCACAGCAGCTGGAAAAGCGGGCGGCGTTGCTCATGACGAGCCTGCCTCACGCCTTCAGAGCTCTGCTCCCAGAGGCAGGCGATCAGCCCTTCGCTCAAGCTGCTTCCTATGTAGCAAAACAAGCGCTGCTCCAGCGAGATCCGTCACTTGCCACGACTTTCCAAGTCAGGACAAGGCCAGGGGAGGCCAGTCCCAGGCACGTGATGATTCTGTGCCGTTGTGGGTCCCAGGGTCGCAAATAAATCCTCTGCTAGGGCCTTGAACATGCAGAACAATGGGGCTTTGTCCTGATTTCCTAAGTGTGGCCTAAACCTCACAACTCCAGTAAACATGGGGTAAGGAAGAAAGCGGGGTGTAGCGGGAACGCTGGTGCAGAAACGTTCGGAGTAGGCATAGCAGTGCCCTGCAGCCCACGGCTGAGCAAGCCGCAGGGGAACGGGGCCTGGAGAGCTGCCTGGCCCCTGAGCGGTGGGCAGCATCCTCTCCCTGTGCGGCTCTAAGGTGCCAGCTTCCTAAACCGTCACCCCGGGGCGTTTTCCTTTTAGGGTAGTCTTGCCAGGGCATTTTCACGTTGAAATGCATGCTATTTCTTATAAATTACTTTTCTTTCATTGCTTGTTCAGAAGACATTTAGGGTAATTTAATTTTTTTAAGTTATGGAAGCATGTATGACGTTCTCAAGGAATTTCATTTCGGGATAGGAAAAGAGGGACTACAACATAGTCCCTGTTATAAAAAGAGCAGGAGGGAGTTCTCCTCTGAGAAGCACAGCCCTGAGGCGTGGGCAGGCCTTACAGGGAGCTGTCCATTGAGCAGGGGAGGGGGTGATGAAGACTGAGCCAAGAAGAGCAAGAGAACCAGCCAGCCGGAAGGAAGGCGGGAAGACCAAGACCCCAGAGCGCAAGAGCTCAGGGGTTTGCCCCGAGGCTCATGGAAGGGAATGCCACTGAGGCTGAAGAAATTGGGGAAATGAGCGCCCCGTCCCTTTCTGCACTGTTCAGCTAGCTTTCAGCCGCCTTCTGCCCGCTACGTGACCGTGATACCCCAGCACACACACACTACCCCAGCAGACGGCTCATCTGTCTTGAGTCTCCAACCCTGCCTCACCCAGCCTGGCTTAACCTGGAGTGGCTCCTTGTGTCCTGATCCACCTTTAGGTTGACCAACCATCCTGATTTTTCTGGGACGGAGGGGTTTCCTGGAACACTAGACTTTCAAGCCAGGATGCGCTGAGCACCATATCTCTGACCCAACAGCTCCTGAGCTAGGCCAGAGCCTGTTTCCTCTGCCTTCATTGCATACTCTCCCTCACCCCAACACACACACACACACACACACACACACACACACACTCTCTCCAATTTGCACCTGAGAAACCTCAGGCAACTCAGGTGACACAGTGAAGGTTTCAGACACCTCTGCCGGGGAGACGGAGCCACCCTGATCCAGACACAGCTGCACTATCAGTCTGCTATCTCCGTTTTAGAGCCAGGAGGGATCTGAGATCATCCTATAAGATGTGCAGACCCGATTTCCAATAAGCACAGCGGCCGATCTAAGCCAGGACCTGCCTAGTCCTCCTGACTCTTGTTCATCAAGCATTCGGCTGCTACGCTTAGAAAATATTGGCAGAGAGGAGCCAAAATCCATAGCCCTGTATCAACACATGAGCTGTTCTTTTCAAGGAAAGCCTGTTATGGTGTGGCTTGTGTCCCCAAAAAGATGCTGAAGTCCTAACCCCCAGTGCCTGTGAACGTGGCCTTATTTGGTGATAAGGCCTTGGCAGACGAGCAAGCTAAAATGAGGTCATTAAGGCGGGCCCTAAATCCAGTGTGACTGATGTCCTTATAAAAAGGGGAGATTTGGACACAAACACACATAGAAGGAAGACGATGTGAAGACACAGGGAGATGATAGACATCTACAAGCCAAGCCTGAAGCTACCAGAAGCCGGAGAAAAGGCCTGGGACAGAATGTCCCTCAGGAGGAGACAACTCTGCCAACACCTGGATTTCGGACTTCTGGCCTTAGAACCAGGAGACGATACATCCCTGTTGCTTGAGCCCTGCAGGCTGTGGTGTTTTCTTACCGCAGCCCTAGAAGGCGGCTCCAGAGCCCCAGCTTCCATATCTGGGGAACGAGGTCCACTTCAAGCTTCAGGTGTTCCACCAGACTTGAGGCCTGTCCTCCTCTGGCAAAGGATGGTCTTTCAGTTGCCAGAACTGCGTCATCCTTCCAGCCGGATGATGACCAGGAAGAACAGATGGGATGCTTATACCTGCTCTGCTATCCAGGAAATTATATCTTTATTTTTTCCTCTCAATTCAGAGCGAGACGTGGCTTAAATAAACATACTCTGAGGCCAGGCGAGGTGGCTCACACCTGTAATCCCAGCACTTTGGGAGGCTGAGGCAAGCAGACCACGAGGTCAGGAGATCGAAACTATCCTGGCTAACACGGTAAAACCTCATCTCTACTAAAAATACAAAAAATTAGCCAGGCGTGGTGGCACGCACCTGTAGTCCCAGCTACTCGGGAGGCTGAAGCAGGAGAATCATTTGAACCTGGGAGGTGGAGGTTGCAGTGAGCTGAGATCACGCCACTGCACTCCAGCCTGGGTGACTGAGCAAAACTCTGTCTCAAAAAAAAAAAAAAAAAAAAAAAAACCACTCTGGAGGCCGAGGCAGGCAGATTCCGAGGTCAGCAGTTCGAGACCAGCCTGGGCAACATGGTGAAACCCCTTCTCTACTAAAAATACAAAAATTAGCCAGGTGTGGTGGTCCACGCATGTAGTCCCAGCTACTCAGGAGGCTGAGGCACAAGAATTGCTTGAACCCAGGAGGTGTAGGTTGTAGTGAGCCGAGGTCACGTCACTGCATTCTAGCCTGGGCAACAGAGCAAGACTCTGCCTCAAAAACAAACAACAAAAAGAAACCCACACTCTGCTGTATGGGCAATAGCTCCGCTTACCCCAAGGTACACAAAGAAATAATTAAGCCTAGGTAAACACCAGGAAGAGCTCTGGTAAGTGCATACGATACAGACTTGGGTTTGAATTCTGGTTCTAAAGTGCAACCTCGAACAAGTTACTTGGTCTTGCTAGACTTCATTTTCCTCTGAGGGTTGTCGGGAAGATTATATAAGATGATGCATGTAAACACTTGGTCCAGTACTCAGTACATAGTAAGGACTCAATAACGGAGTAACAACTTTAGTATCTGACAAAATATAATTCAAGAGATGTCCATTATAGACATAAAAATGCCCAATACTATACGTGAGATTCAGAATATGTTAGCCTCTGGCTGTGTGATTAAAAGAATATCTAGGCCGGGTGCAGTGGCTCACACTTGTAATCCCTGCAATTTGGGAGGCCAAGGTGGGCGGATCGCTTGAGGTCAGGGGTTCGAGACCAGCCTGGGCATCATGATGAAGCCCCATCTCTACTAAAAAAAACAAAAATTAGCCACGCATAGTGGCGCATGCCTGTAATCTCAGCTACTTGGGAGGCTGAGCCAGGAGAATCGCTTGAACCCGGGAGGTGGAGGTTGCAATGAGCTGAGATCAGGCCACTGCACTCCAGCCTTTAGTAACAGAGCAAGACTCCATCTCAAAAAAAAAAAAAAAAAAAAAAAAGATAAAATCCCAGTCTCATCAGGGACACTCACTGTCTCCTCCCACCAAAAAAAGAAACAAAAGACAGAGTTGTCAGTCAATAGTTACACTGAGGTGTACCCAATAACTTGAAAACAAGGAGAAAAGATGAGGCCCTCTGATATGCTTACATCAAAATCAGTACAGATGCGTCAGGAAATAACGTTGGCCTTAAATAAAAAACATGGCTCCCAGACCTTTAAACCTGAATGTAACCTGATCAAAGGTGTCAAAGCAGAAAGGACGGTTGGCCAGCATGGAGGCGTGGAAACGGAACATGAGCCAAGGTGAGCTGACAGCAGTCACTGAGCTTTGTGTGGGGAGAGGGAGACGTGGCGCCTGGCTGCCAATACTGCCACCCATTGGAAAATCCATCAGAGGAGGAGATGGGTGCCCCAGGGTGTCTCCACCTGCTGCTCTAAGATAATTCTTTTGTTTTTTGTTTTTTGTTTTTTTGTTTTTTGAGATGGAGTCTCGCTCTTGTCGCCCAGGCTGGAGTGCAATGGCATGATCTCAACTCACTGCAACCCCTGCCTCCCTGGTTCAAGCGATTCTCCTGCCTCAGCCTCCTGAGTAACTGGGATTACAGGCGCCCGCCATCACGCCCTGCTAATTTTTGTTTTTTTTAGTAGAGATGGAGTTTCGCCACGTTGGCCAGGCTGGTCTCGAACTCCTGACCTCAAGTGATCCGCCCCCATCAGCCTCCCAAAGTGCTAGGATTACAGGCATGAGCCACCACACCCGGCCTGCTCCAAGATATTTCACTCACCCCTCATGGCTCTCCATCCTGGCAGAGATCCAGCCCAGGTCAATTACATTAGAATCCTCAAGGATGGGACCTGGGCATCTTTGTTTTTAAAAGCTCCCTCACATCCTTGAGCTCAGAAGTTCAAAACCAGCCTGGGCAACATAGTGAGACCTCGTCTCTACGAAAAAATTCAAATGAACAAAAATATTAGTTGGGTATGGTGGTGCATGCCTGTAGTACCAGCTACCTGGGAGGCTGCGGGAGAGGAGTCGAGGAGGTCAAGGCTGCAGTGAGCCATGACCACACCACTGCACTCCAGCCTTGGTGACAGGGGTGAGACTCTCTCTCTCAAAAAAAAGAAACAGCTCCTTCAGATGATTCTGATGTGCAGCCAGCACTGCGAATCCTGATCTTACCAATTCCCCCAGGGTTCAAGCGATTCTCATGCCTCAGCCTCCGAAGTAACTGGGATCACAGGCATGCACCACCACGCCCAGCTAAGTTTTGTATTTTTTGTAGAGATGGGCTTTCACTACGTTGCTCAGGCTGGTCTCCAATTCCTGGGCTCAAGTGATCTGCCTGCCTTGGCCTCCCAAAGTGCTGGGATTACAGGCACGAGCCACCGCGCTCTGCTACCTTTGTCCATTCTACTATTTTTTAGTATCTGGCTACTTTCCAGTTTAGGAGTATTACAACCTGTGCTGTTAGGAACACTTTTTAGTACGTCTTCTGATGGCCCCATGTATGCATTTCTGCAGGGCATATACCCGACAGCAAATGCTGGGCCTGAGGAAATGTGTATGTTCAACTTTAGTAGCTGCTTGCCAAGTGGTTTTCCATAATGATTATAGCAATTTACCCTCCCATCCGCAGTGCGTGAACATTCCATGTCCTTGTTACCATTTTGGTGGGGTGTAGATACGGAGATTCAAGGAGTTTTCTGTAGACTTCAAGTTATTCTTTTTCTTTTAGAGACAGCCATAGAAAGCCAGCCAGCTTCCCCCATGAATATGAATGAGAAGCAGTAGCCCAAATGATTATCAGCAGCCAATTGCTATCAAGTTAAAAAGAAAGAACTTGATTACATCATTAAGCTGCCGAATCAGCAACCCAATTCATTCCCTTATTGTTTAGACTGGTTCGCTGTGGTTTTTCTGTTATGTGTATCTGAAAACATCTTTAGTGCTCTCTTCATAAAGTGTCTGAGTCTTATGAAAATCCGTGTGAAGAGGGTTTCTTTATCCTGATGTGGAAACGGATTGTCCAGTGAAATGCAATTAACTCACCACAAGGCCCGGCAGTTAGCAAGGAGTGGAACTGGGGCTAGAACCAGGATTTCAGATCCCTGGCCTATTGTTTTACCACCTTCCCTCTCCTGACAGGCAGTACAACTGTCACCTCTCATTTTGTGAAAATCGCCAAGAGTCCTTTGATCACATAGCTGCAGCTCTTCACTGATGCCAAATTATGTAGCAAATATGCAAACAGCCATGCTGCTGAACAGAGGGGCCAATCATGTTTTGTAAACGGAGCTTTAGCAGCTGTGTTCTTTGCTTCGCCCTGTTATGAGAAAACTGCCAACCACGTGAGGTGAGTCCCCGGTCCTCCAGGGGAAAGAGCTGGTGCGTTTTACTCATAAACCACCAATAAGGAAATGAAGACGGTGAGAAGAGAAGGAGCCAAAATCACAGTAGCAATTTCACCTTCCAGCTAGACAGATGCGGAGCTGTAACTAGCAGCTTCCCAACTTAGAAACCCGAGTATTTCACCTAGTTTTGTACAGCGACAATCCATTGATATAAAAATTCAATGGAGCTACTCAAGATAGTTCAGTGATCTAAAACATCTTCTCACTATAAAACAGACTTTGTGATTCAGCCTAACTGCCCTGTCTATACAAAATATTGTAAAGTACTCTGCAGTCAACTTGTGCTCATGGCGGGGGGCGGGGCAGAATCCATCACTGATCACTTCCAACCGCTGTGAATCTGTCTTCAAGCTCCAACTCAACTAAGGAAGTGGCTCCTGGAGCAAAGACTCAAATGCTTGCTGTAGTACAGGCAGCCAAATTGCTGATGTCACTTGTCCCGTGTAAAATCCTCTAGTGGCTTCACACTGCAGTCCCAGTGAAATCCACATTCCTTAGTCTGACCTTCAAGGCTCTTCAGGGCCTGGCCCAGCCTCTCTCTCTGACCACAGTGCTCCAGGCTCGCTGGTCTTCCATCTGTGCCTTGAACATTTCATGTTTTTATGGCCTCAGGGACTTTGCAATACTCCTTCCTCTTCTGGGAGTTTCCTCCCTGCCTCCTTGTCTGGTTAGCTCCTCATTTTTCAGTTCTCAGACAAATGTCACTTTCAAGATGAGCCTCACCTGACTACCTTCTGTGTGGCAGCACCCTGTCAGTCTCTCATGTCACTTGGTTTATTATCTGTAAGCCCCAGGAGAGCAGAGACCCTGTCTTGCTCACCGCTGTATTCACAACGCCTAGAACAACAGCAGGAACATAAAAAATGCTCAGTAACTACCAGGTGAATACATTGGTCAGTGAATAAAGATGGAGATTAACCACTGGGGTGTGTTCTCTTCTCGACTATTTGCACTGCGATCATTCCACTTTCACTAGCTGTGTTGCCAAAGAAATATTCCCAAGAAAAGAAAATACAGGAAAAAAAAAAAAGGCCAGGCATGGTGGCTCACGCCTGTCATCTCAGTACTTTGGGAGGCCAAGGTGGGAGCATCACTTGAGCCCAGGAGTTTGAGACCAGCCTGGGCAAGACAGGGAAATTCCATCTCTAAACAAAATATAAAAATCAGGTGATGGGGCACAGGCCTGTGGTCCCAGCTACTCAGGAGGCTGAGGTAGAAGGATTGCTTGGTTGAGCCAGGGAAGTGGAGGATGCAGTGAGCCAAGATTGCACCACTGCACTCCAGCCTGGGCGACAGGGCAAGACCCTGTCTCAATAAATAAATAAATAGGAAAAAAAAAAACAGAGTAGGGGGCGGGGGACGGGGGACTAGCAGAAAAGGAGATTGGAAATAATCTTATTTAACAAGTATGATATGAAACTGTGGATTCTTTTCCCATACCCTCAGGTCTTCCAGGAGGCTGCATTAGACAGATTTCCAGGCTCGCCCCAAAGCTACATCACATGATTTTTTACATTTGTTTAAAATGGGCTTTTTCACTCAGTAACCATGACCACGGTCCCGCTGCGTTGCTGATTAGCCCGTGGGAAGGCATTAGGTTTTTTAACAGATGTGAGGATAAGTGTGACACGCCTTTTTCTGAGCAGGTACCTATGATGAGTACAGGATAGGTCTTAGAAAAATGACCACCCGTTCCCCATAGCAGTGCGACACCCTCGCCATCCTTAGCACAGAGTGAGTAAATCATGATTAAACCTCAGCTTTCTGAGACCTTCTGGTTCAGACTTCCCATTTAACAGATGGGGAAGGTTGAGGTGGGGGGGTGAGGGAGCTTTCTACCGACTCGCGATAGGGTCCTGTCCCGACACCGCCAAGCCTTTGGGTAAATCGGCCATTGGCGGTGAACAGACTTTCCTTCCCCTCCGAACTGCAGAGCGCAGAGAGGAAGGGGGCGGGGGCCGGCGCCAGGGTCTGCAGTCCCCACCGCTCTCCCCTAGGCCGCTGAAGAGGGAGACAGAGATGAACGCAAACAAGTTCCACACAGCCGCTCCCAGGCGCCGTGTCCCCGCATGGCGCCCCGCCGCGTCTTCCCCGCCGCGCCCATCCGCCCCCAGCCCTTGGCGGCGCCCCCGCCTCCGAGGCGTCCTGCAAAGCCTAGGGCGCTCAGAGCTGCGGCCAAGACCCTCCTCCCGACGCCGCAGCGCGCGCGGTCGCCTCCCCAGACTGCGCCGCGTGAGGCCCGAGCGGGGGCGGCGAGGCGGGCGCGGGGGGAGAACGACGCGGGGCGCAGGGAGGAGCCACAACCCGCAGCTCCTTTCCGGGGAGGCGGGAGCCTCGGCTTGGGTTTCAGCTGAACGGAAATCGGCCCTTCGCCCGGGGGCGCCGGGCTGCCCTGAATCCAGGAACCTGCCCGCCGCTGCCAGTATCCCTGCTCCCCGTCCCCTTCCTGGTCCCTCCCAGATCCCCGCCCCGACCCCGTCCCCATCCGTAGGCTCCGCGCCCGGCCGGCGGAGGCGGCCGTCGGCGGGACCAGGCCAAGGCCGGGGCGCGCCGGGGTCCCGGAGGGGACTGCGGCCCGGAAGCCTCCGGCCGCCCCGCCGCTGCCCGCGCCGCGCCCACCTGTAGTAGCGGTCATCCTTGAAGGGCGTGAGGTCCTCCTTGAGCTCGCGGTACGCTTCCCGCAGCCGCCGGCACAGGTGCTTGAGCTCGCTGCAGAGCGGGGGCTCAAAGGCAGGGTACTCGGCGTCCATGCCGCGCAGCCTCCCGGGTCCCGGTCCCGCCGCTCCACCCTTTGTGTCGCCGCCTGCGCCCCCTCTCTTCTCCCAGCACTGGGGATCGGGCTGCTGGCGCGCTGGGCGGGACCGAGGAGGAGGAGCAGGTGCGGGGGAGGTGGTGAGGGGGCGCGCAGGACTCGGACCCAGTGCGCTCAGGGCTCCGCCGCGAGCACGCGAGGAGCTGGACACGGCGCGGGTGGGGGCTGGGGGACCCGGCCCCCCGCCCCGTGAAGAGGCCTGAGTGGGGGAGGGAGCCGCGCCCATCCGCCTCCGCGCCCATCCGCCGCCGCCCCGGGAGAGGCAGAAGGCGGGGGAGGAAGTGCAACACAAGGTCGTCTGCCGCCCAGGACAAAAATCTCAGTGCCGCCCTCGCCATTGGCAGCGCTGGGAAGGGAAGACACTGGAGGTGGGAGCACGAAGGAAAATGGTGCTTGGGGGCGGACCGAAGGCCCTTTCCTGCTGGGGAGGTCAAAGGCTGAAGCCGGCTACCGCGTTCAGCACCGCGGACAGCTCCCGCGGGCGACTTCTGGCTTCTTGGGCTCCACTTGGCCGAATGCAGAAACATTTAAAACTAAGCCCATTAGGGTTATAGTCATAATAAATATTATTTTTAAATGAAGTGTGTCCAAGTGAGGTGCTTCTTCCCACATGTACTAAAACCACCAAAAAAAGTCTAGGCAGAGGAGTTTCTCACCTTCTACAAGCTCAACACTAGTGTGCAAACTATAGTTAACCAGTTAACACGTCTTCTACGGAATGGCTTCTCCAAAGCGTGGTGTGATCTCCTCTTGTGAATTTTTCCAATAATAGGTGGAAAAACAGTCTTTCCAGACGATGTTAGTGCATTTCCAACTGAACCCAGGGCAGGTTTCCACGCAAGGTTGATCCTGCCTGCACTGGGGGAAACCTCTTACTTTTAGGGACAAAACCTACACAATTGAACCTAAATAATTGTGGAATATCGATCCCAGGAATCTGTATTTGTCCAAACTCCACAGGCAAGTCTAATGACCACTCAGGTGCCAGTGGTCTCAGCATTCCCATGTTTCCTGCTGTCTGTGCCTACTCTGTCACTCCACCCACTCTTCCTTGCTCTGTATTTTTATTCCCTCCCTTTACATTTTGGAACAGCTTTTGTATGCTAGCCAGGCTCCCTATCAGGGCTTGCACATCTTCCCATAACTGCTGATCATCTTGCATTGCGCACAGTTAGGTTTTAGCCTTAATTCATTAACATGAGCATTTGTGTTTAATCATCTCAGTATTTTTTTTTTTTGAGACGGAGTCTCGCTCTGTCGCCCAGGTCGGACTGCGGACTGCAGTGGCGCAATCTCGGCTCACTGCAAGCTCCGCTTCCCGGGTTCACGCCATTCTCCTGCCTCAGCCTCCCGAGTAGCTGGGACTACAGGCGCCCGCCACCGTGCCCGGCTAATTTTTTGTATTTTTAGTAGAGACGGGGTTTCACCTTGTTAGCCAGGATGGTCTCGATCTCCTGACCTCATGATCCACCCGCCTCGGCCTCCCAAAGTGCTGGGATTACAGGCGTGAGCCACCGCGCCCGGCCTCAGTATTTTTTTTTTAAAGAGCTCAGGTTTGGTAATATTCAAAATATAGTGCATCAAGAGCCGCACTAAGAAGAACTTCAGAGAACACACATGCAGATTTGTTTTCTGAAATGAGAGAGACTGTGAGTTCAGCATGTGCCATATTTTAAACATTGTATCATTGGCTACAGAGAGCTTATTTTTAGGAGGTATATAGGCCAATCTCCAAGATACATCAAAACACTTAAAAATCCTCTACGGAGCCTTCCTTAGCTTCTCAAGCCTAGTTTTTTTTCCTCCCTCTTTGAAGTACAGTAGCCCCTCGAGGATAATACACATCTGGCTCCAGCACTGTGAGGTACTAATCTATTTTGTCAGCTCTTTTACTACAAATCACTAGAAATTCGAGATAAAACACACACACACGGCCGGGAACGGTGGCTCATGCCTGTAATCCCAGCACTTTGGGAGGCCGAGGCAGGCAGGTCACGAGGTCAGGAGATCGAGACCATCCTGGCTAACATGGTGAAATCCCATCTCTACTAAAAATACAAAAAATTAGCCGGGCGAGGTGGCGGACGCCTGTAGTCCCAGCTACTTGGGAGGCTGAGGTAGGAGAATGGTGTGAACCTGGGAGGCAGAGCTTGCAGTGAGCCGAGATTGCGCCACTGCACTCCAGCCTGGGCGACAGAGCGAGACTCTGCCTCAAAAACACACACACACACACACACACACACACACACACACACACACACAGTGACTGTGCCTGTTATGCACAGCTGAGCCACATACTACAATTTCTTTTTTGTATATTTTATTTCCCATAGAATTAATGGTTGTCATTTTTATTGCTTGATTTTTAAATATACTTATTAATATAACCTCGGGTCCTGCACCAATTGTCTAATTTCTCTTTTAAGATACTCAGGTGCATGAGACAGCCTGTCAGCTTCACCTTTGTGAATGACAGCTCTCATGGGCCTTCTGACCAGCTGTAGAAAAAGTTATCTTCACACCCAGTGCATGGGTGCCTGGAGGGATCTCCCCACCATCATCCTGGTAATTATCTCCCCTCTGTTCTGTTTGAATCCCACATTTTCTATTTGCTGGTAGAAAATATCTTCTACAAGATTTTGAGAAAAGATGCATGGGATGCAAATTTTTTGAGGTTCTGGATGTAGGAAAATGTCATTCTTTTACACTTTCTTAATAGCTTGGCTAGGAATAAAAAATTTGGTTGGAAATAGATTTTTTTGTTTTGTTTTGTTTTTATTTGTGAGACGGAGTCTCGCTCTGTCGCCCAGGCTGGAGTGCAATGGTGCAATCTCGGCTCACTGCAACCTCTGCCTCCCTGGTTTAAGCAATTCTCCTGCCTCAGCCTCCCAAATAGCTGGGATTACAGGTGCTTGCCACCATGCCCGGCTAATTTTTGTATTTTTAGTAGAGATGGGGTTTCACCATGTTGGCCAGGCTGGTCTTGAACTCCTGACCTCAAGTGATCAGCCTTGGCCTCCCAAAGTGCTGGGATTACAGGCATGAGTCACTGCCCCCAGCAATCGGAAATAATTTACCTCTAAATTTTGTAGGTATTTTTCAATTGCCTCTTGGATTCTAGTATTGCTGTTGAGAAGTCCAAAGTCATTATAAATCCTGATTCACCTTACACAGACCAATTGTTTTTCTCTCTACAAGGGTATAAGAGCTTCATTTTGTCCACAGTGTAATGACATTTCAAGATTATGTTATACATTGGCCTAGACTTTTTTTCCTGACAATCTAAGTATTTCAGCTTGAATAAACTTTCTTGAGTTGTTTTTTTGATAATGTCCTTTCCTCTCATATTGTTGCTTTCATGTTTGTTATTTCTTTCTGGAACTCCTATTAATTGAAAGTTGGTCATCCTGAATTTGCCCTCTAATTTTTTTACTAGTTTTCATTTATTTTTCTGTTTCCTCCACTTTTGTTCATTATTTTTTGTTCATTATTTTCCAGTTCTTCTATTAAGATTTTCATTTCTACTATGATGCATTTTTTTTGTTTGTTTTTGTTTTTGTTTTTTGAGATGGAGTCTCGCTCTGTCCCCCAGTCTGGAGTGCAGTGGCGCGATCTCGGCTCACTGCAAGCTCTGCCTCCCGGGTTCACACCATTCTTCTGCCTCAGCCTCCCGAGTAGCTGGGACTACAGGCGCCTGCCACCATGCCTGGCTAATTTTGTTTTTGTATTTTTAGTAGAGACGGGGTTTCACCGTGTTAGCCAGGATGGTCTTGATCTCCTGACCTCATGATCTGCCCGCCTTGGCCTCCCAAAGTGCTGGGATTACAGGCATGAGCCACCGCGCCCGGCCACTATGATGCTTTTAATATCCAAGAGTTTTGATTAGTTCTCTGAATGATCCTATTCTTGTTTCATGGATACAATATCTTCTCTCTCAAGACTAATGATAATATTAAAATATTTCCTTCTCTGCCAGGCGCGGTGGCTCATGCTTGTAATCCCAACACTTTGGGAGGCCGAGGCGGGCGAATCACGAGGTCAGGAGTTCAAGACCAGCCTGACCAACATGGTGAAACCTTGTCTCTACTAAAAATAAAAAAATTAGCTGTGTGTGTGGTAGTGCCCACCTGTAATCCCAGCTACTGGGGAGGCTGAGGCAGGAGAATGGCTTGAACCTAGGAGGTGGAGGTTGCAGTGAGCCGAGATCATGCCACTGCACTCCAGCCTGGGTGACAGAGCAAGACTCCGTCTCAAAAAAAAAAAAAAAAGTCCTTTTCCCCTTATAATTTATTTCCTCTAACTTGTTCTTTAATGATTGTTTGTGTTTCTATCTTTCATGTTAGAAGTTTTCTTCAGATGTCCAGTATTTTGGTTGAATGCCCTCTTTACAAGTGGAGCACTAAAATCCTTGGAAACTCTGTATGTGTATGTGTGAGTGGGTGGGGGCGGTGGTTGACAGCAGGCTTTGTTGTGGGTAATATGGCTGAGCTAATTCCTTAGGGAACCCCTGGTATCAATATTGTTAGGTCTTTCCTCTTAGACTGGTGTCCAAAGGTCACCCACTTACAATGTGACTGTGCCACTCTTCCCATCAATCGGCAGAATCTTGAATCTGAGCTGGTTTTGTACCTTTCTTGGACAAGTAAAATGGGTTGGAAATTACACTGTATGTCTTCTGGTCCTAGGCTTCACAGGTATTATAACTTCTGTTTTCAGCATCTCAAAAGTCAGCCTCTGTGTAAAGAAGTGTGGATTTTCCTGTTGGAGAGACCATGTGGAGAGAGACCCTGGAGGATGAGAGGCTGTGTGGAGGAGACCAGAGATGTCCCTGTCCATAGCCAGCACCAACTGCTGGACATGTGAGCAAGGCCACTGTGAATGTTCCAGCCTCGGCCTGGCTCTCAGCTGAAGGCAAGCATGTGAATCATACTAGGGAGCAACATACAGGGAAGAGGAGATGCTCACTTAGGTCGAACAGACCAATTGGAATCATGATGTCGTTGAGGTTTGGGGTGAATAAGTTTGAGAGTGATTTGTTTTTCCACAATAGAAAACTGACACAACTGGCTCAGTTCTGTAGAGGATTCTTTCAGTTCCCACTGGACCGTGAAGGCCTGGTTGCCTGCATTCTGGAAGCAGAACAGAGGAAGACGGATGGCAGTTATCGGGGTGGTATAACATTAGTGACGTGTACAATTTTTTTTTTTTTTTTTGAGACAGAATTTCACTCTGTCGCCCAGGCTAGAGTGCAGTGGCGCGATCTCGGCTCACTGCAAGCTCTGCTTCCTGGGTTCACGCCATTCTCCTGCCTCAGCCTCCTGAGTAGCTGGGACTACAGGTGCCCGTCACCACGCCTGGCTAATTTTTTTGTATTTTTAGTAGAGACGGGATTTCACCTTGTTAGCCAGGATGGTCTCGATCTCCTGACCTCGTGATCTGCCCGCCTCAGCCTCCCAAAGTGCTGGGATTACAGGTGTCAGACACTGCACCCGGATTTTTTTTTTTAGTTTTGAAGACGGAGTCTTGCTCTGTCGCCCAGGCTGGAGTGCAGTGGCATGATCTCGGCTCACTGCAACCTCTGCCTCCCTGGTTCAAGCAATTCTTCTGCCTCAGCCTCCTGAGTAGCTAGGATTATAGTTCGCACCACCACACCTGGCTAATTTTTTTTTTTTTTTTTTTTTTTGAGATGGAGTTTCGCTCTTGTTGCCCAGGCTGGAGTGCAATGGTGTGATCTCACCTCACCGCAACCTCCGCCTCCCGGGTTCAAGCGATTCTCCTGCCTCAGCCTCCCGAGTAGCTGGGATTACAGGCGTCCACCATTGCGCCCAGCCTTAATTTTTGTATTTTTAGTAGACATGGGGTTTCACCATGTTGGCCAGGCTGGTCTCAAATGCCTGACCTCAGGTGATCCACCTGCCTCGGTCTCCCAAAGTGCTGGGATTACGGGGGTGATCCACAGCGCCCGGCCAATGTGTGCAATTTTTAGAATCTGGGTCTCACTCCGTTGCCCAGGCTGAAATGCAGGGGTGCAATCATAGGGCATTGCAGTCTCGAACTCCTGGGCTCAAGTGGTCCTTCTGCCTCAGCTTCTGGAGTAGCTGGGATTACAGCCACGTGCCACTACACCAGGCTAATTTTAAAATAAAATTTTTGTAGAGACAGAATCTCACTATGTTGCCCAGGCTGGTCTTGAACTTTTGGCGTCAAGCAATTCTCCCAACTCAGCCTCCTAAAGTGTTGGGATTACAGGCGTGAGCCACTGTGCCACACTTTAATTTTCTTTTAACCTTGATAAACATTTAATTAAATACCCATTATGTCCTAGGGAATTTTAGGTGCTGACAATTCAGAATTGAGCAAGAATCAGCTCCTGCCTTCTAGGAGTTTGCAGTCTAGTGGGAGACACACATGGTGAACAGATCCAAACAATGTGATTAAGTCTAGAAGACTATTCTGTCATTATGGTAAGATATTTTCACCAGGTTTAACCAAATCAGAGGAGCCACTCAGTTCCCTAGAGTCTTCAAGGCAGCTTTGTGATTGATGATGTCAAAGATTTCTTGTTAGTCCCTGTGGAGACCATTTGTGTTTGGAGACTGAGGTCTTGTAGCTTACTCAGAAACAGCCCCATTTCCCTGATTTTACGTAGCATCACACAACCCACTGAAGGGGCACTGTGTGTTTAAAGACATGTGAACTAAGGCACCTAGAATCTGTGACAGCTGGAATGGATGGTCATGTTCAGGCATGTGCACTCACATATATGTTCAAGAGAAGGGCTAGCCGTGTCCTCCAGCCTGCCAATCTCATGCCAGTACCTCCCGCTGACCAATCCTGACAGAGCCAGGGATAGAGGGAGCCCAGCGATGCAGCCTCCTGGGACACAGGACTAGACAGAGAAGGGCGGAACGTGGACCCAGGGAGAGCAGGGAAGAGATGGGTAACCGGCCCACTGTACTCACAAAACTTTCCTCTGATGTCAGTGAAGTTTGTTGCTTGATGGTAGGGAGTAAATATGACATAAGAGAAAAAACTATCCTCGTTTGCAGTCCCAGGAGTAGTTTTAAGCAGAAGAAAGAGAAGTGGATGAAGCAGGCAGACATGAGTGTCCTGGGCTTCAGCTCAAAGAGAGCACTGCCAGCAAACCATGGAGGGGGGCTCATGGCCTCTTTCATGGATTCATGCTTGAGTATTTGAAGAAAAGGCTTACAGGCCAGGCCCAGTGGCTCATGGCTGTAACCCCAACACTGTGGGAGGCTGAGGTGGGAGGATTACTTGAGGCCAGGAGTTGGAGACCAGCAACATAGTGAGACCCTGTCTCTAAAAAAAAAAAAAAAAAAAAAAATTAGCTGGGCATGGGGGCACATGCATGTGGTCCCAGCTCCTGGGGAAGCTGAGGTGGGAGGATCGCTTGAGCCTAGGAAGTCAAGGCTGCAGTGAGCTGTGACCGTGCCACTGCATTCCAGCCTGGGTGACAGTGAGACCCTATGTTTAAAACAAGGAAAGGAAAGGAGAGCGGAAGGGAGGGGAAGGGAGGGGAGGGGAGGGGAGGGGAGGGGAGGGGAGGCTTACAAATCACAGAATAGAACGCTGGAAGGTTGGCATTGTGAAGATGAGGAAATCGAGGCTCTACGGGACTAAGAGGCTGATACAGGACAGGGAGCAGAGCAGGGGTTAAATCCAGCTCTGTGGTCCCCAGTGCAGGTTCTTTATAGATTACTGATGCCTCCTCTTTTTCTGAAAAGGACTGGAGGCATGTCTAGTCCCTTAAACCTTCACATTCTTTTTTTTATTTTTTATTTTAAGTTCCAGGATACATGTGCAGGACGTGCAGGTTTGTTACATAGGTAAACGTGTGCCATGGTGATTTGCTGCACCTATCAACCCATCACCTAGGTATTAAGCCCCACATGCATTAACTATTTATCCTGATGCTCTCCCTCCCCTCGAATGCCCAATAGGCCCCAGTGTGTGTTGTTCCCCTCCCTGTGTCCATGTGTTCTCATTGTTCCGCTCCCACTTATAAGTGAGAACATGCGGTGTTTGATTTTCTGTTCCTAAATTAGTTTGCTGAGGATAATGGCTTCTAGCTCCACCCATGTCCCTGCAAAGGACATGATCTCATTCCTTTTTATGGTTGCACAGTATTCCATGGTGTATATGGACCGCATTTTCTTTATCCAGTCTATCGCTGATGGGCATTTAGAGTGATTCCATCTCTCTGCAATTGTGAATAGTGCTGCAATGAACATACTTGTGCATGTATCTTTATAACAGAATGATTTATATCCCTTTGGGTATATACCCAACAATGGGACTGCTGGGTCAAATTGTATTTCTGGTTCTAGGTCTTTGAGGAAGAATTGCCACATTGTCTTCCACAATGGAAGAATGAACTAATTTACATTCCCACCAACAGTGTAAAAGCGTTCCTATTTCTCCACAGCCTCACCAGCACATGTTGTTCCTTGACTTTTGAATAATTACCATCCTGACTGGCATGAGATGGTATCTCATTGTGATTTCATGAGATGAAATCTCATTTTGATTTGCATTTCTCTAATGATCAGTGATGTTGAGCTTTCCTGCATATGTTTATTGGCTGCATGTATGTCTTCTTTTGAGAAGTGTCTGTTCATGTCCCTTGCCCATTTTTTAATGGGGTTGTTTTTTTCTTGTAAATTTGTTTAAGTTCCTTGTAGATTTTGGATATTACATCTTTGTCAGATGGATAGAGTACAAAAATTTTCTCCCATTCTATAGGTTGTCTGTTCACTCTGATGATAGTTTCTTTTGCTGTGCAGAAGGTCTTTAGTTAAATTAGATCCCATTTGTCAATTTTTGCTTTCGTTGCAATTGCATTTGACCTTTTTGTCATGAAATCTTTGCCTGTGCCTATGTCATGAACGGTATTGCCTAGATTTTCTTCTAGAGTTTTTATAGTTTTAGGTTTTACATTTAAGTCTTTAATCCATCTTGAGTTAATTTTTGTATAAGGTGTAAGGAAGGGGTCCAGTTTCAATTTTCTGCATATGGCTAGTCAGTTTTCCCAGCATAATGTATTAAATAGGGAATCTTTTCCCCATTGCTTGTTTTTGTCAAGTTTGTCGAAGATCAGATGGTTGTAGATGTGCAGTCTTATGTCTGAGATCTCTATTCCATTCCACTGGTTTCTGTGTCTGTTTTTGTACCAGTACCATGCTGTTTTGGTTACTGTAGCCTTGTAGTATAGTTTGAAGTCAGGTAGCATGGTGCCTCCAGCTTTGTTCTTTTTGCTTAGGATTGTCTTGGCTATATGGGCTCTTTTTTGGTTCCATATGAATTTTAAAGTACTTTTTTCTAATTCTGTGAAGAATGTCAATGGTAGTTTAATAGGAATAGAATTGAATTTATAAATTACTTTGGGCAGTGTCATTTTCATGATATTCATTCTTCCTATCCATGAGTATGGAATGTTTTTCCATTTGTTCGTGTCCTTCTTATTTCCTTGAGCAGTGGCTTGTAGTTCTTGAAGAGGTCCTTCACTTTCCTTGTTAGCTATATTCCTAGGTAATTTGTTCTATTTGTAGCAATGGTGAATTCATGATTTGGCTCTCTGCTTGTCTATTTTTGGTGCATAGGAATGCTTGTGATTTTTTGCACATTGATTTTGTATCCTGAGACTTTGCTGAAGTTGATTATCAGTTTAAGAAGCTTTTGGGCTGTGATGATGAGGTTTTCTGGATGTAGGATCATGTTATCTGCAAACAGGAACAGTTTGACTTCCTCTCTTCCTATTTCTTTATTTCTTTCTCTTTCCTGATTGTCCCAGCCAGAAATTCCAATACTATGTTAAATTTGAGTGGTGAGAGAGGGCATCCTTGTCTTGTGCCAGATTTCAAAGGGAATGCTTCCAGTTTTTCCTCATTCAGTATATTGGTTGTGGGTTTGTCATAAATGGCTCTTATTATTTTGAGGTATGGTCCATCAATACCTAGTTTATTGAGAGTTTTTAACATGAAGCGATGTTGAATTTTATCAGAGGTCTTTTCTATGTTCATTGACATGATCATGTGGTTTGTCTTTAGTTCTTTTTATGTGATTAGTTACATTTATTGATTTGTGTATGTTGAACCAGCCGTGCATCCTGGGGATGAAGCCAACTTGATCATGGCGGATAAGCTTTTTGATGTGCTGCTGGATTCGGTTTGCCAGTATTTTATTGAGGATTTTTGCATTGATGTTGATCAGGGATATTGGCCTGAGGTTTTTTTGTTGTTTTTGTATCTCTGCCAGGTTTTGGTATCAGGATGATGCTGGTCTCATAAAATGAGTTAGGGAGAATCTCTCTTTCTCAATTGTTCGGAATAGTTTCAGAAGAAATGGTACCAGCTCCTCTTTGTACCTCTGGTAGAATTCAGCTCTAAATCCGTCTGTGTGAGGATTTAGAGGGCCAGCCTTCACATTCTTCTTCACCATTACTGGATGCTTCTGCAACTATCACACAAAGTCCCAAGTTTCCTACCGTTGCCTTCGCATTTAATTTAACACAATTTCAGGAACACACAGCATAAAAGTGGCACCATGTGTCTTAAAATGAAATGCACGGTGGTGCTTTGTGGTGAATTAATCATGTCAGGGAAATTTCACCTACAGTAACTCTCTGGCTTGCAGATGGAATCACTGAGACACACCTGTGGGCAGGAAAATGGTAAGGGCATTGCCAGTGACCAGTAAGCTCTATGGAAGCTTGGTGGCCACCTTGCAGTTAAGGACACTTGTAAGTGTGTGGGGCTGGGATGATCTTCACTGAAAGCATTCAAAGATGACAGAAAACAGCCTTTGTCTAGCTACACCTTGAGTGGTCATTTGTAAGTAACATTTTTGAATAATCTAGAGCAATAAAAATGTCCTTCCGCCAAAGTTTAATTTAAATGATGTCTAGCCACCTGTTCTTACACAGCTGAGACTCAGAGGGATTTGATTCAGGGTGCCCTCAGCTGAGATGTTGGTCAGCAGGACCAGATGCTCTGACTTCCCCAGTTTTAGTGGCAACTCTGGGCTGAGAGCTGAGTTGTGCTGCAGCGTCATGGCCTGTCGCTCAGTTCTCATCAGCCCTTGCCAGCCTCTCCACCATCTCCCGTGTTGAGAGGCCCAGCCACTCTGCAGAATCCACAGGCAGCTGCACCAACATCAGCCAATAGATCTTGATGTTTCAGTTGAGACTTGGCACAGAATCGAGCACTTTAATTTCATTTTGATTTTAATAAACATTTAATATCCATGAAGCCTCAGACAATACTAAGTACTGGAAATTCAAGATCAAATAAGAATCCATTCCTGCCCACTAGGGATTCCTGGTCTAGCGGGGAGACACAGATCCAAGCCATGTGGTTAAGTCTGCAGTGGAGGTCATTCCAGGGGCCATGGATCTAGGAAGACTTCACTGCAGAGATAACACCTGTGCTGAGAGGCGAGGAATGAAGAATTCACGGAGTGGATGGGGGAGGAGAAATTCCAGGCGGCAGGAAGAGTGTGAACATGTGGAGCTCATTAGAGAGGGATTGTTCCAGAAGCAGTGATAGTTCCTCACAGGTGGACCACGTTTGCTCTGGAGGAGGAAGAGCTGAGCCTGGTTAAGGAGGCAGAGGCTGAGCCATGGGGACTTCTGGACAATGATAGGGTTTGGGCTTTGTCTTGAATGAGTGGGAGCCGTGGAAGGCTCTGGGCAGAGGCGGACTGGATTCAGTGAGTTTTAGGAGGACAGTTCCTGGGGCAGCAGGACGGGATGGAGGTGAGGAGGGGTTAGGAGACCAGTGTGGTAACCCAGGCAATGAGTGACAGTGGCTAGAGCCAGCACACACTGGCACAGGATAGAACACGGAGACAGTTTGGGAAGACATTTGAGGGTGAAATTTACAAAAGTGGAATATGATATCTTGGGTGACTCAGTTATCTGGCTCTGGTGACTGCTGGTGGTTGGGGATGCTGGTGACTATGGCATGGACACCCTAGGCAGTCAGCACCCATGGTGGCACCATGGGAGATGGAGCGGAGTCTCTGATCCTCATCCTGGGAGCTGCTGCGGGCAGTGTGGCCGGGCACTAGCACCTCTCGTCTCCTGTATGACACATCATATGATTGAGCGATGTTCTTCGAGGGCTGCGCTCTGGTTCTGGTCGTCTTCAAGGATTGGTGAGACGTCTGTCTCTCGTAGGGCTGCCTGTGTCCTCTGCCTGCCTTTGGCTGTCCCTGAACGGAGTGTGGAATGTTCGTCTCCTCTTTGCCCCCTGGGCTGGTTTAGCTCAGCCTCATCTTGGACGCCTGCCTGCTGCATGGGGCATCGGTGAACATCCTCAGAGCCTGCGGAAGGGTAGGCTCAGCTTGTCTGTTCGCCAGACATCCCTATAGGCCGAGCAGTTGGACGAATGTGCTCTCAGGATCCCAACAGAACATGCCAGCGTCCAGCCTGCACCCAGGGCTGCCGGGAAGGGGCCCTGCTCCGCCTCAGCTGTGTTTGCTCATCATAGCCAGTGTGGCTGCTGTTGCCCCTGCCATCTCATCTCAATCTGCCCTTCCTTCCTTTGTTGATTTTTTTTTGGAAAAAAAAAATCCTCCTTTTTGCTTCCCTCTCCCATCTCTTTTTGCATCTTCTTCTCCTCCTTGTCCTGTGTGTCTTGGCTTTTGGCCTGGGGGGTTGGCTTTCACAGCAGTTGCTGACTGGTCTCTGTGGCTGTCTCTCTGCTGTGCTCCTGTCGCTCCTGGCTTTGAAGCTGCTTTCTGCTGCACCTGCCACTAGAGCAGGGCACCAGGCTTTCTGTCCATGAGGCAGTGATGCGCCCCTTTCCCGTCAGTCCCACAAGCTGTCCAATACCACGTTCAGATCAGTAGCTCATGGAAGTATTCCATTGAGCCATGTGGAATTGCCTGCCCATAGTCAACCATTCTGACCCTCAAAAAGGACACTTTGTTCATGTCAACCCAATGGAATTGGTTCCTTTCTGATTATTCTCTCCACGCACGATCCATATCACACATTTATCCACCAGGCGCCAATTATTTCATCACAGGAAATGAGACTCAGGAAAATATATCCTTTTCCTTTCTGCTGGTCATACAAACCTAGATTGCTGATTAATTTGCATTATCTCAGCCGGGCGCAGTTACTCACACCTCTAGTCCCACCACTTTGGGAGGCCGAGGTGGGCAGATCACAAGGTCAAGAGACAAAGAGCATACTGGCCAACATGGTGAAACCCTGTCTCTACTAAAAATACAAAAATTAGCTGGGTGTTGTGGTATATGCCTGTAATCCCAGCTACCCGGGAGGCTGAGGCAGGAGAATTGCCTGAACCTGGGAGGCGGAAGTTGCAGTGAGCTCAGATTACGGCATTGCACTCTAGCCTGGCAACAGAGTGAGACTCCATCTCGGAAAAAAAAAAAAAATTGCATTATCTCTCTGCTGGCACCACTGACACATCGATATTGAATTACAGATATACGTTTTATTTTAGCTACTCTTTCATACCCACTGTCTATTTTTTTTTTTTTTTTGCTTTTTTTGAGACGGAGTTTCCTTCTCGTCCAGCTGGAGTGCAATGGTGTGATCTCGGCTCACTGCAGCCTCTGCCTCCCAGGTTCAAGCGACTCCCCCACCTCAGCCTCCCAAGTAGCTGGACTACAGGCGTGTGCCACCATGCTCGGCTAATTTTTGTATTTTTTGTAGAGACGGGTTTTCACCATGTTGGTCTCGAACTCCTGGCCTCAAGTAATCTGCCTGCCTCAGCCTCCCGAAGTGCTGGGATTAGAGACGTGAGCCACCGTGCCTGGCCCACTGTGTCTTGTTATTATGGATGGAGAGCCAGTTCATCTCCAGGAGTGCTGGGGCATCCATGCCAGCCACAGCATTGGTACTGGGGGCTTACCTGCCTGCTTGACACTTCACCGTCTTGTCCACAAAGTTCTACCCGTGCAAATGCACCCTGACCATTTCCTTTCCACCAGGCCATGTACAGCTTTCCCCAGCCAGGGGGATCACGAGGTCAAGAGATCAAGACCAGCCTCGCCAACATGGTGAAACCCCATCTCTATTAAAAATATAAAAATTAGCTGGGCGTGGTGGCGCACACCTATAGTCCCAGCTATTCGGGAGGCTGAGGCAGGAGAATCGCTTGAACCCAAGAGGCGGAGGTTGCAGTGAGCCGAGATCACGCCATTGCATTCCAGCCTGGGCAACAGAGTGAGACTCTGTCTCAAAAAAAAAAAAAAAAAAAAAAAAAAAAAAAAAAAAAAAAAAAAAAAAACCGACAAAAAAACACAGTCCTTATTGTCCCTTGGGTTTTGTTTCTGATGCAATAGAAGATGGATTTCCAGATGATTGCTAGAAAACAATAAGAAGCATGATCATTTAACGGCTTTACATCTCCCTCCCCGTTTCCCCTTTTGGTTTTCATTAAGTAATGAATTTATCAAGATATTGTATTATGTAAAGTAGCTAAGCATTTTTTTCTTTCCAGAAATGTATATTATCTAATTATTTTATAGAAATATAACTTTACCTATGAGTCGGTTTCTCCCAGAGGAGAGAATAAATAAGAACTAATTCTGCCTTGCATTGCATTTATTCAACAAATGTTTACTGAAACTTGTTAAGTTTGGCACTTTGTAATTGCTGGGAAATGTTCTGGGAGTTGGTATTTGGGCTGTTGAAGTAGTTAGGCCCTTTTGACTTAAGAGGTGTTTGGTGTGGGTTGAGCAAGGGTGCCTCCAGCCACTCCAGCCTTGGCAGCCCAGGCAGGACTAAAGAAGAGGGTAACCAACAACCAAAATTGGTAATTTGTTTCTATCTCTACACAAACTTAGGTTAATTCAACTTATTTCTTTTTTGCTTGAAACTAAGAACAGTGTGAAAAATGGCAATCCAAGAAACATTAATTTATTTAAGTGAAACAGGCCACTGAGACTGAGTTTCTCCGAGTTCACCCCAAAAAAGGACATTCTAAATTAAGTGATTAAATTTTGGCTGATGGAAAATTTGTCTGTTGAAATATCAGGTGCTGGGGGAGGGAGAAAGGGAAATGAACTGAAAGTGCCAGGCTCTCTTCCCCCTCCCCTCCCCTCCCCTCCCCTTCCCTTCTCTCCCTTCTCCTCCCCTCCCCTCCTCTTCTTTTTCTGAGACAGGGTCTCACTCTGTCACCCAGGCTGGAGTACAGTGGCGCAATCACAGCTCACTGCAGCCTCAAACTCACAGGCAAGCAATCCTCCCACCTCAGCCTCCTAAGTAGCTAGGACTACAGGTGCATGACACCATGCCAGGCTAATTTTCATATTTTTTTGTAGAGATGGGGTTTCGCCATGATGCCCAGGCTGGTCTTGAACTCCTGGGCTCAAGTGATAGGTCCACCTTGGCCTCCCAAAGTGGTGGGCTGACAGGTGTGAGCTGCTGTACCCGGCCTATGCCAGGCATTTCTTTCTTTCTTTCTTTCTTTTGAGACGGAGTCTTGCTCTGTCACCCAGGCTGGAGTGCAGTGGCGCAATCTCTGTTCACTGCAACCTCCGCCTTCTGAGTTCAAGTGATTATCCTGCCTCAGCCTCCTGAGTAGCTGGGATTACAGGCGTGTGCCATCACTCTCGGCTAATTTTTATATTTTTAGTAGAAATGGGGTTTCACCATGTTGGCCAGGCTGTCAGGGTCTTACTCTGTCACCCATGCTGGAGTGCAGTGGTGTGATCACTTCAGTGAGATGGCCTGTATTTCCTTTGTGATTGGTCCTTGTCTTGTTTGGGTGTCAGTGTCATATTGATATGTTATTTTGAATATTATAACACTTTGCCCTTATAGTGAGGGAGAAGTGTTTCCTCTTTTTAATTTTCTGAAAGTGTTTGTATAAGAGTAGAGGAACAAGTTCCTTGAAAGTTGATGGTACTAATAAGTAAAACCATTTGGCTTGAAATTTTCTTTGCAGGAAGATTTTCTACTGATGACTACATTTCCAAGTTTTCAAATCTACAGCATACAATTGTGCATAGTCTTCTTATTTTCTTTCTCTTAAAAAGATCTCTCTCTGAAGTTAGATTCCACTTCTATTCCTCATATCATACTTTTGTGCTTTCTTTTTTTCTTCCTACATCATGCCAGATATTTGTCAAATCAATCTTTTCCAAGAACTAACTTTGACATCATGGACCCTCTTGAATGTATTTTCGTTTTTTATGTTCATTAAATTTGATCTGGCCAGTTGTGCTGGCTCATGCCCATAATCCCAGCACTTTGGGAGGCTAAGGTGGGTGGATTGCTTGAGCTCAGGAGTTCAAGACCAGCCTGGGCAACATAAGAGACCCTGTCTCTACAGAAAAATACAAAAATTAGCTGGGCATGGTGGTGCATACCTATAGTACCAGCTATTTGGGAGGCTAAGGTGGGAGGATCTCTTGAGCCCAGGAGGTTGGTCAAGGCTGCAGTAAGCTGTGATCACACCACTGCACTCCAGCATGGGTGACAGAGTGAGACCCTGTCTCAAAAACAAAACAAAACAAAACAAAAAACACAGGTTTTTTAATCTTAAAAATCAGCCTAGTTGCTGAATGGAGAGTGGCCTGGGGGAAGAGGGAGCTAGAAGTCCGCAGGAGGCTGCTGAAGAGGCAGAAGTGAGAGTGAGTGCTGGCCCAGGTCAGGCAGCAGAGGGAGAGGAGGAGCTCTTGCAGGAGAAGTGGCTGGGACTTGGTAGTGGCTACTGTGGAACAGGAGGAAGGAGAGCGAGGGGTCCAGGGCAGCTCCCTGTCATCTGGAACAGCTGCGCACCCTTCCGCAGGGGCCCCAGAACACCACACACTGGGTGGAGAGGATGAGTTGGTCTGGGAGACAGGGACTCAGCAGTCTTGGAGGTAGAGAACCAGCTGGGACCATACCCTCTGCAGGGCAGGGCTGTTGTCCACTCTGCGTAGCTACCCATCTCCTCCAGGCATCGCAGTGATTGGCATGCATTAGACACTCCATAAATATTTGCTGATTAATGAAAGAACCACCAAAAAAAATCTGTGTCCTGAAATCTCTAGCTGAGTGCCTCAGCCTGCCTAGACTCAGCAATGCTGTGTAGCCCTCCAATCAGAGTCTGGGCTTATGCTGCCCCCCAGCACACACCACACACAGCCGGGAGGTGCTGCAGGCGGCTCTCCCTGCCTCGTGACAGCTGAGGGTGACATTTCCAGGAATCTTGAGAGCCAATTTTTAAATACAGTCATTATATAAAATTAAATTGCTACTTAAGGCACATCTCTTTCCAACTCCTCCTTCAGTGAGTCTGGTGGGAATATTTATACCATGGAAATCAGCAAAAGCCACAAATCAGGGTTGATTTCATTTCATTGTTTTAGTCTAGGCTCTAGACTTAAGAATGTGATGAAGGCAGTGTTCATAATGCAATTTAAATTAAAAATGTGTCATATCTGCACCATCACATTGTAAACAGCACAAAAGAATCGAGATCTGATCTTCAAAAACTATTATCCCATTTAGCAAAGAAATGGCTTATGTCATTAATGTATGAGTAAAGTTCTAACATATGTTTATGGTGTTTCACTGAAGACACATTTTCGTTGTTTCACTTTTGTCTTGCTCAAAAATGTAAATGAAAATAACCAACATTCATGTTGAGGCTACATTTGTTTACCAATTACAATCTTAGGTTGGCTGCAAGACAAACATTTGGCAAAAATCAACAAAAGCATTAGCTATTAAGTCTGGCTATATGGAGTTATAAGAAAAATATTGTGTATTTTGTTATTGTAATTGTGTACTACACATCCTATATAGCAATACAATTTATAATGCTCATGTAAGGTATATTTATTCATTCCAAGTTTGTGTGTTTCTGGAGAGCTGGTTGTTAGCTATTTACCAACACACCACTCCACTTGTTTGCCAATTTATAACCTTCAGCTGAAAGTATTGTTCTCCTGAAGAGGGCACCAGAGGGGACGGAGCCCAAACAACAGAGAGCACTGCACGGGGAATTGGGGAGATGCTGTTTACCCAGCAGCAAGGACCTGGCAGGCTGGATAGTTTCAGTGTGAACACGAAGAAGGCTGAGTGCTGATCAGGGTGCCGTTTACATTTTATACTCACCACCTTCTATTGCGAGGCTCACTGGCACTGGTTTTGTTTATTTCCATAAACATACAATAAAATGATCCTCCAGATCATCTTCGGGAACCTGGACAAAGTCTGGACAAAATGAACCCATCTTCGGAGTATCATCTCCCTCATGGGAAGGTGACTGCAAAGGAGAAAGGAAGTTAAAAGCAAAGGTCGGGGCAGGCGCAGCCGCGCAGCCTCACCCGGGCTCGTCTGTGACTCATTTCCCTGGAGGGGAGGCTTCTATCTGAGGTGCTGGCTTCTGCTCCCTGGGGAGCCGGCGCTTGTTCTCTGTGGTTCAGGATGCTTCAAGGAGCGATTCTCAAAGAGGGGCTGCGGCCTCATGGCTCTGAGATTTGCTCCTGACTCTTTTTCAACACACACTGCCTGGATGAGAGGAAAGTCACTTACGATTTTCTATCTGAGATTTCCCCATCTTTTAACTGGGACCAAACCTTTGCAGGGGAGGAAACATTTCTTTTCCTCATCCATCACTAGGGTCATGACCAGGGCCCCCATTAACAAGAGAAAACCATACAAATTTTATTTAATACAGCCATGCACCTCATAAAGATGCTTCAGTCAACAACAGACTGAATATGCAATGGTGATCCCGTATGACTATAACACTGGATTTTAGTTGTCCCTTTTCTATGTTTAGATACAAAAATACCTCCCATTGTGTTTCAGTTGCCTGCAGTGTTCAACACAGTGACATGCTGTGCGGGTTTGCAGTCCGGAAGCAATCAGCGGCCCCACAGAGACCAAGTGTGCCGCAGGTCATGCCTCTAGGTCTGTGTAAGTGCACTCTGTGAGGTTCCCACAGTGACAAAACAGCCTAGTGACACATTTCTCAGGACATCTCTCATTGTTAAGTGATGCAAGTTTTACATGACATGGGAACCTTCAGAAATGAGGACCCAAAGACACAGACACCTGTTTTTTTGTTTGTCTGTTTTGAGATGGAGTCTCACTCTGTTGCCCAGGCTGGAGTGCAGTGGGACGATCTCAGCTCACTGCAACCTCTGCCTCCCGGGTTCCAGCGATTCTCCTGCCTCAGCCTCCTGAGTAGCTGGGATTACAGCTAATTTTTGTATTTTTAGTAGAGATGGGGTTTCACCATGTTGGCCAGGCTGGTGTCAAACTCCTGACCTCAAGTGATCCGCCCACCTCGGCCTCCCAAAGTGCTGGGATTTCAGGCGTGAGCCACTGTGTCTGGCCGACACCTGTGTATTTTTACGCTGCTAAGTCTGATGAAGAAGTCGACAGGTGTGAGGGACAGTGGGACAAAGGGGTGTGATCCCTTGGGAATAAGCTGGGGGACTCCGCAGTGCCCGTTTGTGCAGGTTCTTCTCTGTACCCCTGTGTCTTCAGAGATGGAGACATTCCTCTCCTCTGGGGGCAGGGAGGGCACCTGTGGAACAAGGGTCTTGGGCCTGCTGCAGGGGCCAGGGGATGTGGGGAAGGTGAGAGTGAACTTCCTGCTTCTGCTGTTTTCTCAAATGCCAAGGTGCCACATTCTGGGGTGTGTGTCCTGAACCCCGTCACCTTCCCTGAGAAGGGCTTGTGGGGTCTTCCTGCTGTCAGAACAAGCTATACTGTGGTTTGCGAACCTGCTGTTACATGGAGTTGGCTCTGGGTGTCATCTTTACCTTTGCCTTATTTTTGGAGACTACAGATATCCAAATGGAAAGAAAGGAAAGCCATCCGTTCTTGCCATTTAGTTGAGAGAAAACCTTGGCTAATGAGATGATGTTCAGCTGTGTCTCTACAGGTACTGAGGATTTTTTAAAAAGTACCAGGCTCGGGCCGGGCGTGGTGGCTCACGCTTGTAATCCCAGCACTTTGGGAGGCCGAAGCGGGCGTACCATGAGGTCAGGAGTTCGAAATCAGCCTGACCAACATGGTGAAACCCCGTCTCTACTAAAAATACAAAAATTAGCCGAGAGTGGTGGCTTATGCCTGTTGTCCCAGCTACTCGGGAGGCTGAGGCAGGAGAATCACTTGAACCCGGGAGGCGGAGGTTGCAATGAGCCGAGATCGGGCCATTGCACTCCAGCCTGGCGACAGAGCAAGACTCCGTCTCCATTCAAAAGTCCCTCGGAGCGCTCGTGCTGCGTGGCGGCGGCCGGGATCGCGCTTACAGCGGGTGCGCGCAGGGCGGGTGCACGCTCAGGACAGGTGCGCGCGCAGGCTGAGGACCCTTGCACTTAGCCCGCAGCCGCGGGGCCTGCGCTCAGGTCGAGCGCGCTGGCTTCCTGGAGAGTTTCCTTTCGTGTTCCCTCCCCTGAGCGGCTGCCGCTGGCGCCTTTGGCCTGACCCAGGCCGGCCATGGCCTCAGCTTGGAAGAGCTATAGAAAGATCCAGAAGAGGTAAAAGGTGTTGCTGGAAAAGGCAACTAGGAAAACGGTGCGTGATGCCCTTCCAGCTGAAAAATCCAAGACTGAGACAGAAATGAACAGGATGCGGCAGAAATCACAGAGGAAAGCAGAACTCCTTGACAGCGAAAAGCCAGCTGCGGTGTTTGCTCCCATTGCAGGGGACCTACAGTGACACTCGGTGACTATGCACGGGGTCAGCCAGGTGAGGAGGCCAAGTTCCCGCTGAGAACGTGCAGATGCGCTCCCCAGAGAGGTCGTGTGATCTCTTGGTGTAGGATCTAACTGGGCAGGGTTATCCGTGAGTGTGAACAATCCATTGACACCCACTCCTGTGGAAGGCAAGGCGGATACAGTTCTTATCTTCTGTAGAAGGAAAGCGGAAAACACGGGGTGGGATCACCTGACTCAGGTTGAAAAAGGGTACAAAGAAACCGAAAAGACCCCCTACGACACTGAAACAGACTCCAGGGAGGGGCTGATGAACGTTCTAGGGGAAGTGGATGAGGACGGAGATGAGGCTGTGGAGAGAAAGATTCATAAAGCCTGGCTGGAATCAGGAGAGAAACGAGACGAGGGGGGACAGGGGGGTTTGAGACTTTAAAGTTCTTTTGGGAACTGTGATGCGGACGTGCTGGTGTTCCCAGTACGGGAATACTGGTGAGCTGCACATACGCATTTACAGGTAACTCCTTACACGGCCCTCTTCTAAGCAAAGGCAATGCATTCTCCATTTCCTACTGGAAGATTTATTTAAATAAAATATGCCTATTAAACAAAACAAGCAAACAAAAAAGTCCCATAGCACAGATGCTTTCCCATCTGGTTGGTTTGTTACGTTTTCAACATAGTGTACCAGTCCTTTATCCACATAGATAATTCACTTTTTTCAAGTATACTCTCAAGAGGTCCACATCATGAAAAACAGGTTAAGAAATGAGATAGGCCAAGTTAGCAGAGCCAGGGACATGGCCACCAGCTCGCTGTGGCCCGGTCGGGGTGCCTGTGCTGCTGTCACAGTGAGCATGGAGGACCAGGTCAAGAATGGGACAGTGGGGCTGGGCTTTTGCCGCTTCTGGCTGCCTAGCAGGTGGACTCTAACCAGCGGGTTACACGGAGGCACTAAGTGGGTCTGGGCAGTGTGGTGTTCTCAAGAGGCTGGTTTGGTCTAGTCTGACCCGTCCACTCTTCCCGGAAGCTGTTTGTGGAGAAACGTGGGCTCTGTCTCCCACAAAGACTGTTGGGCCTATTCTCTTGCCATCCTCCCACGAGCTCAGCTTGGCTTATACCAGCACCTGCTGACAAGTGTGTGTGTTAGAAAAAGAGAATGTTGACAAGCTCATCCTGTGGGAGAGAACCCTGGATGCAAGGGTGAGACCCACTGGAGTGCAGTGCACAGGAACAGATGGGCTGGGGGCACGAGGCTGACTCCATGTGGCCTAAGATGGGCCAGGGATCCTGAGGGTTCCATGAGCTGGACGCTCTGTGGCTTTTAGAGAAACTTCCCTTCCCAAGCTGCCTGAATCTATAAGGTCATCAAAGGAACCACTTAGCGAAGAAGAGACTTTTCTTCCACCAGTGCAGGAAATGGGACCTAGGCTGGAGCTGGTTATTCCAAAGGGTGGATGAAGGCAGTCTCTTTCTACTAGAGGAATGTTTTCTCTCAAGTTTTATAACAAAGGAAACTGTTGAGAAACTGGTGAGAAACCACAATCCTGGGACGGAAGAGCCTTCTGCAGTCAGAAGCAGGTACCTGAGGAAGGCAGGAAGTGGGACTCAGAGGACCCCATGGGCTCCAGCACAGAAAGAAGTTCATCACTCGAGGGTGTGTCTTCTCATCATAGGGGTTGGGGGGGCGCATGCGTGTGGCATGCACATGCTGTGGTGTCTGGACTGCCTGCCTTTTTACTGGGGAGAGAAAGAAAATATAACACTGGTCAAGCCCCTGTTTCAGTGACCCCAGACACTGAAATAAAAGGAAATGCCCCTGTTACTGGGTGAAAGTGCAAGATTCTGATTAGTGGTTCAAGGTGACACAGGAGACACTGAGTTGATTCATGTGAAAGGAGGAACCACAGATCATTCACATGAGCTGGAGGATGAACCAACAGGAGACATAGAGACCCTTGGTTCCCAGGACAGAAGGGAAATGGTGTCAGGTCTGGGCACTTTTCTACTTTTGGAGAAGAGTGGAGAGAGGAAGCACTAGGTTGTCCATACCCTCAGGGTTGAAGACAATGGGAAATGGCTGTCACAACTGGGAGAAGGCAATGTGACTGGTTGCCTTTATCATCCAAGCTCCCCGCTCTTTCCCGGGACAAGAGCTATCCCGTAGCTGTGCCTGCAGTGAGGATGCTGCACCATCACTGGGTGCAGGGGAGAGCCTGGGAGCCAGCCAGAGCTAAGTGGCAAATGGGATGCTGGGATTCATAACAGTGACCTGGAAGAACGCATGGGCAGGTCAGAGGACAAAGAGCAAGATGCTTTGCAAGGTGTCTGCATGCTGTCCTGAGTGGTGGTTGAAGCTTAAGAAATTCCTATGACTGCCGGGCATGGTGGTGGGTGCGGTGGCTCACGCCTGTAATCCCAGCACTTTGGGAGGCCAAGACGGGTGAACCACCTGAGGTCAGGCGTTCAAGACCAGCCTGGCCAACATAGTAAAACCCCATCTCTACTAAAAATACAAAAATTAGCTGGGCATGGTGGTGCGTGCCTGTAATCCCAGCTACTCGGGAGGCTAAGGCAGGAGAATCGCTTCAACCTGGGAGGCAGAAGTTGCAGTGAGCTGAGATCATGCCATTGTACTCCAGCCTAGGCGACAAGAGTGAAACTCCATCTCAAAAAAAAAAAAAAAAAAATTCCTATGACTTACTCTGGGGCGCCTTCTTTACTTGAAGCGATCGCTCAGACAGGAACTCTGAAATGGGTTCAAGAAATGAGCCAGCACTTCCAATGGATGGCTTCTTATTCTTCAGCACATAGAGCAGCTGTTTCTAGGAAGTGTAGGGAAACAAATCCACACAGACTGGCTCCTTTGTGAAGCCTGGGTGAATAATAAAACTGGTCAGCCGAACGTTCACTCTTTCCAGAATTCAATAACAAGGACTTAAATCTCATTCTATAAAGCGGATGAGCTCACCTGATGAGGGGCAGGGGTGGCCCATCTGTATGTAATACTTGTTTTCATGGGAGATGACTAAGTATAAGTAGCTCAGAGCTCATTACAGGCAAATCTTTACGACACACCAGAGTGAGAAGCTGGGAATAAACCAGGTCTATTCATTAATGTGACCCAGAAATCTTGGATTCTGTTTCAGGATTGGTTTTTGTCTATGGAATCCAGAAATCATTTCAACCTCTCACTGCTTCCATTTTCTTCTGAAAGGAGTGGCAAAAGGTATTCACTTCATAATGGAGTTGAGATTTAACTGTGGTTAGTATCTTTCATCCTTGGAAAACTGCAATGCAATCTCCATGAGACAGTTATTTCTCTTCTACAGTGAGTTTTGGGAGCTAGGTTCGAGCAAAATTGATTCCTTATTCTTTGAAAAACACCAAAAAGGTAGTTCTGTACATGCACACATGTATTATCACAGATAAACCTCCCATGCCCCACCTTCCCACCTCCCATGGTCATAGGGAACTTTAGGGCAGAGGAAGCAGGCTCACTAAGCACTTATGAGTAACAACAATAGTTAATAGTTATATGAGCACCTAGAGTTGAATTGCTTAAAACCTAGGTTTAAGTTTCCTACAAATTAACAAAGGTGTTAATATTTGGCATCTCTGATCTTTAGATGCTATACAGGTGCACTTTTAATCGAGTCCTCTTTTTTTTTTTTGAGACGGAGTCTCGCTCTGTCTCCCAGGCTGGAGTGCAGTGGTGCGATCTCGGCTCACTGCAAGCCCCGCCTCCCGGGTTCATGCCATTCTCCTGCCTCAGCCTCCCGAGTAGCTAGGACTACAGGCGCCCGCCACCACGCCCGGCTAATTTTTTGTATTTTTAGTAGAGACGGGGTTTCACTGTGTTAGCCAGGATGGTCTCGATCTCCTGACCTCATGATCCGCCCGCCTCAGGCTCCCAAAGTGCTGGGATTACAGGCGTGAGCCACCGTGCCCGGCCAATCGAGTCCTCTTTTAAAAAGCCATGAAAAAGCAAATCTAAACCAGATCATCAAGAAGACAGCACAATCTCTGACTTCCCCAAATGGGCAACATGATGACCGGGATCTCAGGGTCTCCAGTAGCTGCTAGCAGTTACCAAGAGACCCAGGAAGCAACTGGAGGGTGGGTAGGTCATGCCAATGGAGCGAGGTGATTTCTCCTCACAAGGCTCAAGAATTCTGCACACAACTTTTTTGATCTGCAAAATTTTATTAAGCAATAGCTGGACAACTCTTACAACTTCAAATCATCAAGAAAAAAATAAGGAGATTAATCCGTCTCAGTAATAAAGACAGAAAATAACTTGGACAAACCACATCGTTTTGAATGCAAACCATTAATGCCTTCTAGAATATCTCCTGCACAATCTAATACACAAAATACGTAAGAAGAAAGGCAAATAAGGATGAGCTCATTAAAACGCATTTGGGAGTCGCAACAGATCTTGCTTGGAAAGTAAAACCAGCAGGATGCTGAATTAAAAAACAAACAAACCAACACTGGAGGAACTGAGGTGCACAAGCAGTGCACGCCACTGCCGAGGTCTGGACATGAACATGCTGGTGGTCTAGTTTGGTCTGGGGCCTATGCACCTGCATCGTGCACTTACGGTTAAAAAAAAAAAAAAGGGAAAAAGAAAATGCCAGTAGTAATAAACTCAGAAATTATGTCCAAATTTACAGTACCAAAATAATGCATTTATAAACAAATGCAAAAACAATACCCCTTTGGTAAATAATACAGTGTCTTTTTCAGTCAAACGCATAACCCATGCTTTTCTACAACACGAAAAAATTTTTATCTACAATAAACAACAAGATCTTAGAACCCTACCCCTCCCCTTAAAAAGAACTGTAAACAGAAAATATAGGTACAAGTAAAGTTACACAAAAATTGCACAAAGCCAAAGAAAATGGAAACAAAGTAAGCCACAACCCATTAGAGTTTTATCAGCCAGAGGTAAGGAATCACACAAATGCTGAAGAGTTCTGAGTTGTGTGCTATTACAGAAATCCCAGGAACTCAAACGACATTTTGGACACATTTTTGTCTCCACTAACTTTGCTTACAACCATTGACTTGGCCAAATGATACAGGCACACAGCGACACCATGGACTCCTTCTCCAGTTGCTGGGCCAAACTTTCCTTTTCAAGAAACCTTTTCAATTTGAAGACCGTGTAACATGGCAGAGCACACTCAGGAATTTGAGGTGACCTAGGTATATATTCCTGTGGTTTTGGGGACAAGTAGTGACTTATTTCATGGCTGTTCTCATGGACATCCAGCTGAGCAGGGCACACCCGTGGAGACTCCTTCTTACCTAGAATCAGTACTTTTGTATATTCTATGAGAACAAACACAATTCCAAACACATTTAGAGGTGCACAAAAGATATTACTTTAAATGCACTGGTTTATATTCAGTACATAGCTCATTAACACAGGAAAAGAAATATTTCTCTACACAAAGGCAATGGTGTGAAATATATTTCCCATGAAAAGTGGAATGATGAGGCTGTTCAGTGCTGCGCTCTTAGGCTGAGAGCTGTAAGGGAGTTTAGAGGGCTGTCCAGGCTGATCCTTTCATTTCACAGATGGACAAGTGGAGGCCTAGCCAGCCCCAGGGACTTGCCCAAGGTCACCATCCAACCCTGTGGCAGAGCAGGCTTGACCCTGGGGTTTGCAGACTTTTTGCTATGATTACAAGATGAACATAACACATTCTTCCATGTCCTTGTGAGACACTTGACAAGGGAGCAATGGCTATGGATAAAAACACTAGCCTGTGAAATTCTTTGATTTATGCTGCCATTAGAGCTTTGAGATTTTCCTGCTTCTTTGGCCCCAATTTTTCTCAGGATATACATTCAATGGGTATATTGTACACAAATCTGTGCCTTTGGTTTGATGAGGTTAGAGCTAAAACAAATTTAGAATTGGTTATATTTGTTAATATATCACACTTCCCTCAAAAAGTCATAGATTCTTTATACAGTTAACCTTTTACTGGACTGCTTTTAAATTTAGGGATTCAATGAGGTATCTTGATATTCATAAACTATTAATAAACATTAAATTTTTAGAAATCTCCTGCATAAAGTATGAATTTTCGTCGTATTTAGTCAACAGAGACTGACTGAATGAAAGCATAGTTGAAAATAAGACCACCACTATTAACTGAAACGTCACACTACTAGGACCGCACAGCCCGCAGCTTGTGTCTGCCTTGGCGCAGGAGGGCAGCCCCTCTTTTCAGGCCCCTGGGTAGAGGGGAGGTGGGCAGTGGCTGCCGGGGTCACTCCGGTACAAACTCATACAAACTCACGTGCGCCAAACATCCGAGACAGAAGCCTGTGCCTCCATCGGGGGAAAGCGCCTTTGGGGGAGGGAGCTAGGCATTTAGAAGCTTAGTTAATTATTTGCTAAAAAAATCCATTTTTTTCTTCTCACATGTATTTGTAGCTTTCATTTCAAAGATTTTCCCCTATATTTGCTCTTATTAAACAGGTTCTAAAATGGGCTTTTTCAGGGTCTTTATATCTCAAAAACAATTAGAACACAAAAAGTGAAGCTTATTACCTAGTAACTCTTTCCTTGGCTACTCTCATTCTAATAGGTCTCCCCTTTTTATTTCAGATCAACTGTTATTTTCAGATAAAAATAAAATTTTCAAAAGAAGAGAATACTATTTGAGTGTTATCTCAAAAAAAAAGTCTCCTTTGTATATAATCAATAACACAAAATACAAAAAAAAATTTTTAAGTGATTAATAGGAATTTTTTCCCAATTAGAAAAGTTACAAATTATCCAGCAAAAAACCTTCTATGGGCCGGGAGTGGTGGCTCACGTCTGTAATCCCAGCACTTTGGGAGGCCGAGGCGGGCGGATCACCTGAGGTCAGGAGTTCAAGACCAGCCTGGCCAACATGGCAAAACCCCATCTCTATTAAAAATACAAAAACATTAGCCTGGCGTGTTGGCGGGTGTCTATAATCCCAGCTGCTTGGGAGGCTGAGGCAAAATAATCACCTGAACCCTGGAGTCAGAGGTTGTGGGGAGCCGAGATTGTGCCACTACACTCTAGTTGGGCGACAAGAGTGGGACTCCGTCTCAAAAAAAAAAAAAAAAAAAAAAAAAAACCTTCTATCATATCCTCTTTATTTCTTGCAGCAAAATATACTGTGACCATGTAAGTCGTTAACAAAGATACTATTTTTCTAAATAAATAAAATGGGTATAACTCACCAAAACGTAACAACAAAATAATTCCTAAGAACACTATGAAAAGCAAGATAAATAATTATCTCCTAAACGACAAAACAGGGGAATTGCATTTAGATTATCTAACAGGCTATAACCATTATTGCACAACCAATAAGCACTGAAACACCATATCAAGCTACATAAACTCATATAAAAGAATTAATTCTGATAACATTGCTGAATTCTTTCTGGAAGAATGCACCCACTAAAAATATCAGGTCCAATACGTTAAATATAAATGAGAAACTGGTATTAGATGGGAAATATCCTTTGCCACATCAGAAAACTTCGTCAGTATTTCTCTGGGGTTTGGAGAGAATTGGGAGTGATGTCATGTCATCTTGATCTGGGAAAAAAATGGGTCGGTTTCTTTTCCAATTTTTTAACTAAAACAGGGGATTAAAAAACGTTTAAATTTGAAAATACTTTTCTGTAGCATCTTCTACTTGTCTGTTTCCAAATAAAATGCAAATTTGGAACCCAACGCCAGCAGATAGTTCCTGTGCTCCTGCACAGCAGGCCCAGGAGAGGGGCCTGATCCTAAACAACATCACAGGTAAGACTGAGAAAAACAAAAACAAAAACAAAAAACAACAACAAAAAACAACAACAAAAAACACTGGGTTTTGTCATCAGGGCTTGAATACTGCCCACAGGTTCTCACGAGGACGAGGAAGTGGGAAGAGATATTCTAGGTAATTTTTTTTTATACAATTAACAAACTGTGATCAACCAACTACCTAGGTATTACAATTTTAATAACGTTTTCTCAGTGGTTTAGCTCCTTAGTAAACAGTCTGTACAGTTAATAAACAACTTTTTTTGTTAGAGAAGATCATGAAAATTTTGTCAAAGATTTGACCATACTCCTCTGTATTTTAATACCCTGGTGAACACTTAACATTTTTTTGGTTACATTTCTAATTTGATAGAAAGCATTTGTAGTCAACTGAATTTTAATGTAGCCAAGAGGAGAAAAGGAGTGGTTTCAAATCAAGCGTTGTCCACACTTTTAGAATGGGAAGGCATAGAACATGGTATCTCATGGGAAAGATCATGTTTACAGTAATGCATTCCAGATTAAAAAGTAAAAGGGGCAGAGAGAGTAGAGGCTGTTTCTCAGCATGTGAGGATCTAGTGACTGTCACCACATTATTTGAGAAAACTGCTACCACTACCACAGGCCAGGATCTTTCCATTTTTGTCTCTCACCTTCTCCCAGAACCAGTCATGCTGAATGACCATCACTGATCCTACGGAACTTTGACAAACGATGAAACTAGTGGAGGCTTTCAATGTAGACATCCTCAGCAGAGGAGTGTAGCCCTCGTACTGCTGCTACAAGTCACACGCTGAGTCACATTGCTGTCTGCAGAGTGATGTGAACCTGTGTATACGTGCAGTTTCTTCTTTACCCTTCGTCCCTTCCCCAACATCCTCAGTGAGCAAATCGCATTTCTACCTGGTGAGAACACCCCTGTAAAGAGCCTACTTTGTTGGTCCAACACAGTGTGTCTGCCCAAATGCCCTTTATTAATTAAGTCACCTTTTGGGGAGTAACATAATCAGTGTAAATCAAATGCTGTCCCCATCCCATTCCCCAAGAACCTGCATCTTGAGAATTTTTGGCTGTGTTTTGTAAAAGCTTTTTGCTTTTACGCTAGTGGTGATGTTGGAGGAGAATACAGGATAATGCATCCTCCCTATGTCTAAAAGAATAGCAGGCTCTAAGGCAGACTGTCTTCATTCTGAAGGGCCCAGTAGAGCATTACCACAGCCAAGCTGTTTCCTGAAAGAACAGCAGGTGCCTAGCACTCTTTGCTTCCAAATGCCACTGAAATGAAAGAAGAAAAGAAGAACAGACAATAAAAGGTAATAAAACCCAACCAAATAAATGACGACCACAGGTCAGCGCCCTCTCCTGGGCCTGCCGGGCTTTTCCAGTTTTGCTGTTGGCTTCTGGTCCTCCCAGGCATCGGACCCCTAGAGGGCTCCTCTGGCATCTCCGAAGACCTCTTCCAAAGGCTCTCTGCATCTCTCTCCTCCCCACACCAGTCTCTTCATTTGAGGCGCTGAGTCACGTTGGCCAGGGCAACTGCAAAGGCCTGCACGGCTGAGAACGGATACTGGAAGTCTAGAATGTACGCACTGCCATCAATCCGTCCAAACTGCATCACCTGGAGGAGGGCAGGGGAAGCAAAGACATTAAAGAATAAGGTGAAAAGGCCAGGCGCAGTGGCTCACGCCTGTAGTCCCAGCACTTTGGGAGGCCGAGGTGGGCAGATCACGACGTCAGGAGATAGAGACCACCCTGGCTAACACGGTGAAACCCCGTCTCTATTAAAAATACAAAAAATTAGCCGGGCGTGGTGGCGGGCGCCTGTAGTCCCAGCTACTCGGGAGGCTGAGGCAGGAGAATGGTGTAAACCTGGGAGGTGGAGCTTGCAGTGAGCTGAGATTGGGCCACTGCACTCCAGCCTGGGCGACAGAGGAGACTTCATCTCAAAAAAAAAAAAAAAAAAAAAAAAAAAAGAACAAGGCGAGCAAGGCGACAGCCGGGTCTGCATGGCTCCTTATGGAAGCAGACAGCACCGTCTATGAGATACTTTTGCTAACAAAAGTGACCCTGAATCTGGTGAAGCTTCTATATCTAACTCCAAGTTTGCAGGAAATAAGGGGACTGAGGAACATGTTAACACAATGGAGACAGTGAGCAAGGTTTGGAATGTGGGGACAATGGCCTCCAGCTCCATCCGTGAAAAGTTACCTGTGGGGTACAACATCCAATGTTTGGGTGATGGGCATACTAGAAGCCCACCCCCCATTATGCACGTAATGCTCATGTAACAAGCACATGTACCCCTGAATCTAAAAGAAAAAAGAAAAAAAAAAAAGAATGGGGTGAATGCTACAGGCCAAATGAAGTGGTTTCTTCACCTAGGAAGTAGAAAGGAGAAAGAAAAGCAGAAAGAAACACAAACAGGCCAGAGGCTCCAGAAGAGAAGTAGCACCACCACTGTCCAACACCGCTGCCTCAGGGAGGGACTTGCTGGCCACTTCCTCACCAGTTCCTGTGCCTACATCCCATCAGACAGTGACGCCATGCCCTAGCACACGGGCTGCACTCATCCGCCTCTGGTCCCCAGTCTGCGTGTTCCACAGCGGCGGGGCTCTGTCTTCCTCACTGCCCTGATCCTAGCACTATAGCAGGGGCTGACGCACTTTCTGCGAGGGGCTGATAATAAATATTTTAAGCTTTGTGGGTCACACGGTTTTTACCACAACTCCTCAACTCTGCTGTTGTCCGGCCAACACAGCCAGGGACGATACTCAGGTGAATGAGCGTGGCTGTGCTCCAATAAAACTTTGTTCCAAAAAGAGGCGGCTGGCCAGAGTGGCCCAAAGGCCAGTATGCCAACCCTGGGCTTAGAGGATTGCCAGGCACACGGCAGGTTCTCAATAACATTTATTGAGTGAATTAACGAAAACGTGAATTTAAGTAGAGAGGGGAGGGACTTTACAGGATGGTGAAGGGGGACGTTGGCAGCAGGACAGAGCAACCCTTCTGGGCTGGAGCAGGGAAGAACTAGGACCCAATGTGTTCAGCTGCACCATGAGATAACATCCGGTTCGAGAACTGGGGAATGACTTCCATATACAGAGAAATAGGCAAATGAGCAAACAGACAGATAACAGGAAGTTGATATGTCTAGGGGAAGAAAAGTATACAAAAAAGGAAATGTAACTAAGCCGTAATACATGGCTCAGCTATTGACTAGCATAACAAGGTAACCAGTGACCACTGATTTAATGGGGAAGGAAAAGCTGTGTGCATACATGTGTGTGTGTGCATAGGGTGAGCAAAACTAACCCTCACATTCCTTAGGAAGTCACCATCTGATGCCAAAAACAGAAAAGTCAATGAACAGAAGTAGAAACGTATTCTTTACAAATATGACTGCAGGCCAGGTGCGTTGGCTCACGCCTGTAATCCCAACATCTTGAGAGGCTGAGGCAGGAGGATTGCTTGGAACCCAGGAGTTTGAGACCAATCTAGACAACACAGTGAGACTCCCATTTCTAAAAAAAAAAAAATTAGGGCTGGGCGTGGTAGCTCACGCCTGTAATCCCTGCACTTTGAGAGGCCAAGGCGGGCAGATCACGAGGTCAGGAGATCGAGATCATCCTGGCTAACACGGTGAAACCCCATCTCTACTAAAAATACAAAAAAAAAAAAAAAATTAGCCGGGCATGGTGGCGGGCACGTGTAGTCCCAGCTACTCGGGAGGCTGAGGCGGGAGAATGGCGTGAACCCAGGAGGCGTAGCTTGCAGGAAGCCAAGACTGCGCCACTGCACTCCAGCCTGGGCCACAGAGCGAGACGGTCTCAAAAAGAAAAAAAAAAATACAAGACAGCAGTGGGCACACTAAAAACCATAACCCCATGAGCTCCACCTAAGAGGTGTTCGTTGTTTTCCACATTTCCCATTTGGCCTTTTGAAAAATGCTCCTTGAAGGCCGAAGCACTGAAACCCTCGCCTCCTGGGCTCGCAGCGCCACCTGGTCTGAGGTCTTACCTGCCGCCCCTCTAACTCAATCTGGAAGTTCTTGGCGGACTCCTGGGTCACCCGCCCCCCGAAGTCCAGCTGGTAGACCTGGGTGGCCTCGTTCCACAGCGGCTGCTTGTTGGCCATCACGTACACGAAGCCTTGGCTGCCCAGCCGCCCGTCCTCCTTCTCACTGGCCCGCCGGCACTTGGCCTCCTCCAGCTCGCCGGCGGCCCGTGGGGAGCGCTTGCTTTTCCAGCCCTTTCTGCTGCCCTGGCTCTGGTTCATGAGCTCATCCCCGCTGATGAACAGCTCAGGCTCGCTCTCGGAGCTGTCCTGGAACTCGTTTGTCTTATTCAACTTCTTTGACTTCAGTTGGTCTTTCTGACTCTTCACTTTCTTCTTCTCTCTCCCCAGGTGTGGGCTGGAGATTAGGGAATTAAAGTCACTCAAAGTCCTAGCCTCCTTCTTCACTTTGCCCTCAGTGATGGCCTGAACGCTGCCTTCTTCTGCTCGGCTGTCCAGGCGCTTCCGGTTCTTCTTTCCAAATTTTTCTGTCCGCTGGGGGACTGGGCTTTCGGTCAGGGAGAGGACTTCCTGGAAGTTGTCTGCAGTCTCTACCATCACCTCTGTGCCCAAGTGGCTTTGGAGGTCGGCAGGTGGTGGGGACACAAGGGGCTTCTCCACCACCAAGTGTGGCTTTGGGGGGAGAGTGCCCTGGGGGTTCTGCATGGGCGGGCAGGCGCTGTAGGAACTCCATGGATGCAAGGCGACAGGTGGCAGCTGTAAACTAGAGCACGTGCTGCTTCCTGGGTACATGGGGGGCAGGGTGCAATAGGAGAGGCTGGGTGGGTACAGCGGCTGAAGGACCACAGCAGGCTCCTGTTGTGCAAACTGCGTTGGGGACAGGGCATCTTTGGGAGAGCAGGGAGCCTGCACTCCAGGCAAAGGGGGGTTGTTATAGCTTCCTGGATATGGCACTCCCATCCCATAGCCTGTTTGGAAAGTGGCAGTGGGGCTGGCAGGAGACTTGGGGGAGATGAAGGGCAGTCGGGACACGTCCAGGTGCTGGCCCTGACTCAGCATCAGAGAGGACAGTTTTAAGGGGTTGGGCCCTGAAGTCTGTGCTGTCCTTTCTTGAGGAACCCAAACATCCTCACCCAGCATGGGGTCCCACTGGTAAGGGGGTGGCCGTTTCAGGGTGACAGCAGCTTCAGGCAGGGGAGGGTGCCTCAAGGGCTTCTCAAGCTGACAGTGCTGGGACAGGGCCTCGTCCTCCGTGAAGGCCGAGTTGACGTAGTCGGTGCGGTCGCGGGCGCTGTCGGGTGGGCTCAGGAGGCTGTAGGAGGACTGGGAGGCCAACGGGGAGGCGCTGGCGGTATGGGCCAGGGAGGCTCCGGGCTGTGAGCTGGGCCCTGTGCCACTGCACTGACTGCAGGTGTACAGGGCAGGTGGGGGCCGCGCTGGGAGCTGTGTCACCACCCCCCCGGGCCCGCCCTTGGACTTGGCCAGGGGCTGCAGGGGGGCCCGCGGGCTGTCGGCCAGCTGGGCCATCTTGAGCGTAGCCTCACGGTTGTTCCTCCGCAGGGTAGCGTGGATGAGGCTATTGTCGGACCTCTGGGCAGCCCCCCGCCCCTGGGCCAGCTGGCTGGCAATTTCAGGATACGGGGGTGGGTCCCCGGTGGGGATGGAGTAGCGAGGGACGGTCAGGCGGTTCAGGGTGGCACTGCTGCAGGGCTGAGGGACCTTCTTCTCAGTGGCCGTGAGCCTCAAGGTGGCAGAGCTACCCGGGCCGGGGAGGGTGTACGTGTTCTGGGAGCACAGCATCCGGGTGCGGGGCCGGCACACCTCCTCCACGTTGCCACTGCTGTCGAAGGTGGTGATCCTCTCATAGCCCAGGGGGGTCTGGTAGTGCACTGACGTGGGGTAGAGGGAGAAGTCGCCCTTCTTCAAGCACACATCCACTGGGGGCTGTGGGGGCGGCAGAGGGGGCGGGGGTGCTGCTGTGGTGGGGGCAGCGGGGATGGTTCCTGGGTACGGGGGTGGAGGGTTTATCTTCGTCACCTGGACCTCCTGGGGGGCACTAAAGACCACTGCGTCCCCCTCAGCTGCCAGCTGCGGTGTTGGCCGCAGGGCCTTGGCTGACTTCTGCAGGTGTTCGTGGTCTCGGTCTCCATGGCCCACCGTGGACAGCTGCATGGGCCCCTGCGGCGGGGGAGGCAGGGACAGTGGAGGGGGGTTCTGAATGATGCGGCCCATTTCCACGCTTCCGAAAATCACCTGTCCAGGATTGGAGTACCGGTTGGAGACTGGGTACTGGGTGGCACTGTCACCTGCATGTTCTGCTGTCCCTACAGCTGTCGTCTGGTTGGTCAGGACATCTAGCTGCACATTCTGATTGGCCAGTAGGGACTGCACCAGCCCTATGCTCTGCGTGGGGGACATAGCCTGAGCCGAGCTGTGGATCGGTGCAATAGGGATGTTCACGGTACAAGGTGGGCTGTTCTCAGGGACACCAGATGCTCCTGTCACTGGAAGAAAATTAGAAAAAGGAACTGCTTACAAAAACACTGCCATTAAACCAGATCAGGATAAGCAATACGTCTGGACTCATCCAGTCTCCTTCTGTAAACAAAATGCAAATTGCCAGAGACAGAGACGTGTCTGCTTGGGGAAAGCTGGCCTGCTCGCACAAGGGAGATGGGTTCTTGAGGGCAGCCTGCTGCTGTCTGTTAGCTAAGGGTACTGTCAGAACTTTTCGACTAACTCACTTTTGAACCTTCTAAACTTGGCACCAGTGCCTCAATGGCACCATCACAGATAATTAAATGTCTGAAGAAGCTTTTTACTGGTGATATTCATAAAATACCCACCCTTTTATGCAAGAAGAGGGCAATGGTACAGGAAAAACCTCCATTGAGGACTTGCAGTGCCTAGGCCTCTGAATAGGTCTATTCATGATTATGGGATGGATAGTGTGGAAAGTGTCATGCAACAGATGTGTATAAGAAATGTATGCACATTAGGTTTCTGTAAATAGAACCATGTAAAATGTGGTAGAAAAAACAATGAAAAGAATCTTCTAGTGAATCTGAGTATCATATGAAGGATCATTTCCTAATTTTTTTTTTTTTAAGACAGAGTCTTGCTCTGTTGCCCAGGCGTGCAGTAGCAGGAGTTCAGCTCACTGCAACCTCCACCTCCTGGGTTCAAGTGATTCTCCTGCGTTCAAGTGATTCTCCTGCCTCAGCCTCCCCAGTAGCTGGGACTGCAGGTGAGCGCCACCACACCCAGCTATGTATTTTTAGTAGATATGGGGTTTTGCCATGTTGGCCAGGCTGGTCCCCAACTCCTGACCTCAGGTGATCCACCCACCTCGCCTCCCAAAGGGCTGGGATTACAGGTGTGAGCCACCCTGCCTGGCCTTTATCTGCTTTTTAGCATTTCAAACAGTATGTAAGGTAGAGCCATGCTGAATTAAACCCTATAAATATATCCTATTTGTACACAGTGAGAGTTTAACAGAGCGTGCGTGCATTTGAACAGCGATCTACAGACAGGTGCTCAGAGCCACTGTCTGCACCACCCTGTTTAAAGTGCCCACTGAGCACTCTGCAGTTGGCTCCTCTAGGCCCACTGTGCTACCCTGTGGCTTTTCCCTTAGAGAAAACTGCCACTGATCCAGAAATCTGAGGCATGGTGTAAGTACCGTGTGGCAGCTAGTCCATGATTAGGAAATGTGACACTGGCTGACTTCTCATCAAAAGAACTACAGAATCAAGCCAGCTAGTTTATCAAAAGCTAAGCTGGCCCTTCCTTGGGGTGTCCTAGTAAGACATAACTCTCCCCTGGCCACACAAATTTGGGTCTGTCTCAGGTTTCCTATGATTCCTGTTCAGATCCCTCTTGGAGAAGCTCTCTCGTCTGTATGAAACACTGATGGCAGGCATCTTCCCCTTTAAGGAAGAAGAGCCTCTTCACTGAGTCACCATCATTAAATGTAATCCCTGAGACAATATGTTCCCTCCTCTCATTGAGAACCACAGACAATAACGACAACTGCAGCAACAGCTGAACCTTGGAGAGGGCTGTATTCCTCGCATTTTGGGAGAACAGGGAAAGCGTTAAGGGGAAAGTTTAAAAGATACTTCTAATTCCAAGATTCTGAAGTAGAAGGGGATGCACTAGAAAGCTCAGGTATGGGAGGCTTCACCAAACTACAGGTATTTATGTGGCTGTAAGCTTGGCCTATTAGGACCACATAAGCCTAGGAGATTTGCTCACCCATGCAGGAGAGGTCACCAACAGAGAAGCAAGATGGCTATTGTTGGAAAGTGCAGTATAAATCATTTTTTTTTCTTTTTTCAGTTAAAAAGACTGGGCTGAGAGAAGGTAAACAACTCTCTCAAGTTCAGAGCCAAGCTGAGGAGGAGGGCCCAAGCTGAAATGGGTGGCCCTCTATGTCCACTGCAAGAACCAGTCCCTCTGGTCACAGACATCCAGATACTGGAGAAGTCACGGTCCATGTCTGGGTTCCTCTAGCTCAGAAACAAGAGACTTCCAGAGCCCACTTAGTTGGAAGTAGAGGAGTCTGTGTATCTATAAAATCTCAGGTGGCCTTTTACTTAGAAAAGCAAGTTATTTTCAAGTACCCTCTAGTGAAATAGTTACACACAACTAACTGGCCAGACTAATTGGAAGTCATTGTAATCTATTAATCAAAATAGGATCCTTTAAGAATCCCCCCACTGGGAAACACATTAACTTAAGATGCTATGGATATTGATATTTACCATTTGAAAACTGGAATTTAAAAACTGTTTACCAGATTTTATCTTGAACTCAGACCAGGCCCCTGTGCACTGAGACATGCGGTTGCGGTGGAAGAGAGGTAGTTCCAGGTAAAGGCTTTTGCGTCCTGGACACGGCAGATTTGAGAAACTGGGCTCTGTGCGCACCACGGGAATGCTGGAGTGAGACACTATCTCAGCAGGGACTGAAAGGATGAAAGCTGGCCTAGATCAATGAGATTGAGTCTCAGTTCTGATTTTATTTAGTCCCAATCAGTCCTGCAAACTTATCTGAATCCAGACACAAGACTAAGAGGATAGCTGTGAGGATAAAGCCAGATGTTAGAACTGTGCTCCGAAAACACAAGGCGCCGCTGCTACTGGAACCATCTGTGCTCCAGCAGCTCCCCTCCTGCCAACACTGGTGCCAACCTGTGACTTTTCCCCTGGGACACAACATCACATCTACCAACCTTACTGAGGCAGGGATACCTTTTCCAAACCCAGGTAGCAGACTGAAATCCTCAACAACTTGCCGCTCTGTCCCCCTTGCATGATCTACTGACAGAGGGACCGTGACAAACACGTTGATGTATGTGAACACACCTGGTAAATCATCTTCATCTTCACTGAAAACATTTGGGTTGAAGACAGGTAAATTAATATAGTCCATGGAAATTTTCCGAACTTCTGGGAGATAAATGGTCATCTGCCGCGGCTGGAGATGCAGGAGGCTGGTTTTATAGATTACTGGTGGGGAAAAAGAAGGGCACAGTTAACAGAGACACACCAGAGCAGAGCCAAAGTGTCAAGAGAGTCACAGGAAGAAGAGCGCACTGCAGTTTCCCTGCCATCAGAAGACAGATCTGTGTAGGCAGGGCCCAGAGGCTGAGAGGAGCTCTTCATTTCTCCCTAGTACTCAATGCGACCATACTAGCCACAGTTCTGGATTCAGTAACAGCAGATTCCCGGTCTAGCTTGGCCTCCTTGCCAATGGTTTGTCTACAGAACTACAAATTTCAAATGTTAAAAACATTTTAGACACAAATCATTTCTTTTGGAATAAGCTAGGGTATAAAAACATATTTTTTAAAAACCTCATTTGCAGTCAGAAGGATGATTGAATGGAAATAGTTGTGACAACCAGACTGCCAAACAAGGGAAGCTTGGGCAACCAAGAAACTGTGTGAAAGCAATGTTGAGATGGGGGTGGCATGGTTTCATGTAGGAATAAAACATAGCCTTCATTTCGGCTGGAACCTTGGTTTACTGGCTTTCAATTTTAATCTAACCATCAGGATAGAGATTTATAGGGAATTTCCACACAGTTGTTTTTTTAAAACCTCAAGATTTAATTTGATTAACAGGGACATGTAGGAGAAGGCCTAGATTGCAACTAAAATATTTAGAGGAGACAAAATAAGTTTAAATATAATGAATCTGAATTTAAGTTTCACAGTAGTTAAAGTCGGGGTGAAACTGCCCTGTGAACTTGCTTTTGTGTTCAATAGTCTCTCCTGTGAGACAGGTAGCACAAAGCTTCTTTATTCTAGCTCCATGGCGGTCACCTTAACACTTAGCGGCTGACCTGCAGCATGACTGCGGCACAGCAGGCCTCCTTTGTCGAAGCATCTTTGCGGGGCTGGCCCATGGACTGGTATGGGTTAAGGTAACTTCTCCTGCCCAATAGCAGGAAAGGCCCTAGGCATGTGTTTCTCTCTCTTGTCCACAAAGGAAAGATAATATGAATTTTGGTTTAAAAATACTGTGTGGTTCCATATGACTTAAGAATGAATGTATTAAAGTGTTATTCTTTGTTGTTCACATTGACAAAGCAATTTTTAAAAAAATTCTAGGAGGGATTAGAAAAATACCATCAGTTACCTCCAGGAAAGAAAAGTAGGTGGCTGATGGTGAGAATGACAGAGATTTTTACTATAGACCCCTCTGAATGCTTTGAATTTTGTAGAATCTACTGTGTATTGTTAAAATGCCAAAAATTCAAAATAAAAAAATTTCATGGGCCAGATCATTCTAATTAAAGAAAACAAATTATCCAACCTGGGGAACAGCACTCACTTTTTAAGTTCACTAGAGTGCCATATACTGTCTTTGAAAAGATTATTTAATGGGGTACCACATATAACATACCTTCTAGTATTCAATAGTTAATTTCTGTTCTCTAGTATTAATAGAATCAAGTGGAAAATTCTTTTACCTTGACAAAGTAGCTCTATGGATCAAAATACTATTTTTAAAAAGATCAGGATGAGCATGGTAGCTCGCACCTGTAATTCCAGCACTTTGAGAGGCCAAGATGGGGGTATGGCTTGAAGCCAGGAGTTTAAGACCAGCCTGGACAAAATAGTGAAGTCCTATCTCAACCAAAAATTTTAAAAAATTAGCTGGGCATGGTGGCATGTGCCTTGTCTACAGTCCTAGCTAGTACAGGCTGAGGTGGGAGAATCACTCGAGCGCAGGAGCTTGAGGCTGCAGTGAGCTGTGGTGGCGCCACTGCACTCTAGCATGGGTGACAGAGCCAGGCCCTATCTCCCTGCACCCCCCAAAAAAGGCCAGCATTTGTCTCAAAGGCTCTCACATGCTCTCTCATTGTAAGATCTTTACTGGCTTATCTGTGGACCTTCTCAACATCCAAGAATGAAAAGACCCATTTAGTAAATTCTCACTTCCATTCCCTTTTTCAATATTTACCATAGGCAGATGGCTAAGTTCTCAGCTTACTGATGTGGGAATAATCATGATAGCTAAACAGTAGTTATTAAAAATCAGCCTTATCTAATCAATAGGGCACTAACGAGTAACTGAACAACAAGCATTTGTGGTCATCAGAGTGTTTCCAGGTTGCTGAAAATATTATGAGAGATTTATTTGCATTATGTACAGGGATGGTCCATTGTGATTCCCTAAGTCAGTTTCATGTTTAAATTTTATTCCTCTTTTTCTTTGAGCTCAGAAACTTCAAAATGAAAAACTCAAATGCAGCACTATTTAAAAAATCTGTGAAATGCCTCATAGCAATAGGTCTTTCTAACATCTAATCTGTAAGAATAATTTATTTTAAAGGATCTGTGTATGAACTGCTTCATACAACTCATACACAGATTCAGAATTTTTCAAAAACCAGTTTTAGTAGGTTACGCACAGCACGCTCAAAATGGAGGGCCACGGCCCCCCTGGCTGAGCTGGCCTTGCAGACAGACGTGTACGACATGCAGTGATTCTGCAACTGGGAAAGATGCGGGGAGCAACACAGCTCCTCAACTCACATAGGGACCTCCCCAACAGAAGGAAGTTGCTCTGGAATGGACCTTCTGCCATTTTCACGTCATTACTGTCTCTGGGGTAAATATAACAAGGTATTGCAACTCATTTGGGCAGGAGGGCAGATCCGAATACATGTTCATGTTCTGGCCTGGCTTTTACTCCCTTGGCTCAGTTTTCCTCTGTTTCAAACTTGCCATGGACAGGGTATTTATCTAGTACTGAGAAATGAAATTCAGAAAAATTTACCACCAAGAATTGTACCAATAGTCAGCTAATCTTTTTTTTTTTTTCTTGAGACGTAGTTTCGCTCGTGTTGCCCAGGCTGGAGTGCAGTGGCGTGATCTCGGCTCACAGCAACCTCCGCCCCCTGGGTTCAAGTGATTCTCCTGCCTCAGCCTTCCAAGTAGCTAGGATTACAGGCAGGCACCACCATGCCAGGCTAATTTTGTATTTTTAGAAGAGAAAGGTTCTCCATGTTGGTCAGGCTGGTCTCAAACTCCCAAACTCAGGTGATCTGCCAACCTTGTATTCCCAAAGTGCTGGGATTACAGGCGTGAGCCACTGCACTCAGCCTTAGCTAACTACTTATAGTCTCTAATGCTTTCTTCTCCACTTTCTTCAGGAGTTTACCAAAAATCCGCCCACAGCAAAAGGCCTAGAAGTCAAAGTTTTGAGAAATCTATACGAGCTGTGATACAAATTTTGGCTATTGCTATCATTTTAATATTTCTATTGTTTTTATGAGTCAGGGCTTATAGCAAAAAATGAAAATCCCGCTGGCGACCAGGCGTGATGGCTCATGCCTGTCATCCCAGCACTTTGGAAGGTTGAGGTGGGCAAATTGCTTGAGCTCAGGAGTTTGAGACCAGCATGGACAATGTGGTGAAACCCTGTCTCTACAAAAAATACAAAAATTAGCCGGGCATGGTGGCGCGAACCTGTAATCCCAGCTACTTTGGGGGCTGAGGCAGGAGGATCACTTGAGCCCAGGTCAAGGCTGCAGTGAGCTGTGATCGTGTCACTATACTCCAGCCTGGGTAAGACACTATCTCAAAAAAAAAGTTAAAAGATTTAAAAAAAAAAAATGCCACTGGCAAAAAGCCAATGTGAGTGAGAATTCTAATTTTTGTGAAATCACTGTGGTGAAGTTAAGGTTTAGAGGTAAAATACATGCTAATCTTTTGCTGTCTTAAAAGTTCATCTCCTAGTTTAAGCCACTAAAGGTGGAAACTGGACGTTTTAGTTTGTTCCAACTGGGACAATGAGAGAAGAGGACATGATTTTTACCTGCACCGAGGTTGGTTGGCAGGAAAGCAGCCAAGCCCACAATCTTAAATTTGGTTCCCCAGATATTAGACGTGACCTGAGCAAGATAGTTGTGCTGCGGTAGGAAGAAAAGAAAAAAGAAGAATCACAATCTATTTCCGTATTTTCAACTGGTCACTCAGTAAGAATGTTAATATTTATTACTTAAGCCACGAGTGTGCACTGCAAGAAACACCCATTCCCTACCTCATCTACCATTTGCAAGATCAGAAGCTAACGAGGGCAGCCAGGCACGCAGCAGTGAGTGGGGGCGCATCGAGCTGGGGGAAAGGTGGGGGTGTGTCCCAGTATGTATGTCCACAGGTGTGTGATTTAAAGAGGCGTAGAAAGGGATCTAACTCTGAATCCATTTTTATCTTTGATATTTCGCCTGAAAACATCGGTTGCATTGGTACCAGTATGTCCTGAAACTACCCATCATTTGTTTTCTCATTCAATTAAATTTTTAAAAATTTAAGAAATTATTTTGCCTAAGGTATGTATGCAAGGGCAAAAATAAAGATGGACAAAATACAGCCCCTTAAGGAGCTTAAACCTGATGGAGGAGATAAAGCTTGTAATGATCTGTATATAAAGAAGTCACTGAGCAATGTCATAAGGTAGCTCTACACCAGGTGTGTCAGCCTCTCCCGGCAAACCAGGGTAGGAGGCCGTCACAGCAGAGGTGGTGGTGGAGTTCCATCTGGAAGCATGGGGCAGAAACGAGGAGGAGGTGGGGTGGTGACAATCTAGGCAGGGCAAGGCATGGGACAGGTGAGAACCAGGTGTGGCTGCAGCACCCGGAGGGTGAGGGGGCACTGAGGGACCAGGAGGGAAAGGCAGGCAGGGCTGGACGGTGGGAGCTGTGATGGGAAGTGGGAGGTTCTCTCCCACCGTCACTGCAAGATCAGAACTGGCTGAGGGGCACAGGTGGAGAAGCCAGAGCTCCACCTGAGGGCTACTCCTGAGGTAGTAGGTGGTGTGCAGGATGTGGAGCAGAGCTCAGGGACCCATGGTGGCAGTGAGCAGTGCAGGCGGCGGGTAGGAAGGGGCCCTCTGGGCATAGCCCCCAGGAGGAGGGGAGCAAGGCAGGGTAACTGGGGGCTCCTACCTGAGTGATGTCTTCAAAAGGAAACTCTCTCCGAGTCAGGCTGGGCGAGCCCACAGAGGGCTTGCGCAGGGGCAACCGTGGGGACCGGGAGAGCTCCTGAGCAGCCCGGGGCAGCTTGGGTGACTTGCGGGCCTCAATGCTGATCCTGGGGAGGCAAGGCCAGGAGGGGTCAGGCATCCGTGGCGGGAATGGTGAGCATGGCCCTGACTCCAGCAGTCCTTTCTTTTTCTGGACAGCCAGCCTGGGTGTTGGGTTCTCACCCTGCAGCCAGTGCCCGAATTTAACAAAGCTCTCCCCTTGCTTTTGCTTTATGAATATGAGGAAAGAATGACAACTTTACATTGAATAATATACATTTTAAAATATATTGAGAAACTGGGTGTGGTGGCACACACCTGCAGTCCCAGCTGCTTGGGAGGCTGAGGCAGGAGGATCGCTTGAGCCCAGGAGTTCAAGGCTGCAATGAGCTACGATTACACAACTCCACTTGAGCCTGGATGACAGAGCAAGACCCCATCTCAAAATATACTTAGTATACACTGAAATGAGATCCAGCGATCCATTTGTAAGGAACTCAAAGAATTAACTGTCTTTCACTCTCTGTTGCCTTGGAGCAAGCGTGGAAATGGCCTTCTGCCAGGGGCCTGCACAATCAGTCCTGGGAAAATGGCAGGTGGAACAAGTCATTTCTTACCCTAATGCCAGTGATTCTTATAATTTCTTCTGCAACAGTGTGAATTTCAACAAATTTATCTAGCATTTCACCATCTGCAATATTTAAATCAAATTAGTAAAGTTTTTTGGCTGCCTTTTGATCCCATGTTGTATCTCTGCTTCTCAGTCCCTTTATTTGTAACATGGAGACACACATGTTTAATGACAGTCTACCCCAAAGACAGTGTGATTAAAATGAGTATGGTAAGGTTTAAAACAGTCTATGAAAAAATGCATTAAGTCTCATATATACTGGTTTTGAGCTTGATGAGAAACTCTGGGCTCCTGAGGAGTGGGAGGATGGCAGATTGAGCTCCCTAAAGCTATGATGTGGGACAATTAGCCTGGCTGCTGTGTGGAGGGTCCAAATGGGGAAAGGACAACAGGAGGAGGTCCAGCCACAGGAAGACGGCAACCTGAAGAGGACGTTTAAAGGTGAAGGATTTAGCTGCATGCATTAGATGTCCTCTCTGCTTACATAATGGGAAAAAAGCACTTTGGAAATATAGGAAAGTTCATAATGTTACATGCAATTTTAACAAGCTCTGGAACAAAGATGAAAAAAGACATCAATCAGATTGCTAGAGTAACTGGATATCTGCATATTTAAAAATGAGCATTTACCTCTAATTCATACCAAACACAAAAATTAATCCATAAGCATGAAAGCTAAAACTAGAAAGCTGCTGGAAGAGAACTGAAGAAAGGCTTCATGACCTTAGGTAACCAAAGACATCCCGAACAGGACACAGAAAGCACTAACCACAAAAGAAGAATGCCACGTGCTGGACTATATGGCCATACAGATATCTGACAAAGGATTCAAATCTAGAAGAAAGAACTCTTGGCTGGGTGCGGTGGCTCACACCTGTAAGCCCAGCACTTAGGGAGGCCAAGGCGGGCGGATCACAAGGTCAGGAGTTTGAGACCATCCTGGCCAATATGGTGAAACCCCATCTCTACTAAAAAATACAAAAATTAGCCGGGCGTGGTGGCGCTTGCCTATAGTCCCAGCTACTCAGGAGGCTGAAGCAGGAGAGTCACTTGAACCCAGGAGGTGAAGGTTGCAGTGAGCCAAGATCACGCCACTGCACTCCAGCCTGGGCGACAGAGCAAGACTCCAGCTCGAAAAAACAACAACAAAAAAGAATGAGACATTCAGATGCCCCTGTAGTGATTGCTCTAAAGGGAGGGGAGGGTACACAGGAGCTTGGGCCAGTTGCAGTGGCTCACACCTGTAATCCCAGCACCTTGGGAGGCCGAGGTAGGCGGATCATGAGGTCAGGAGATTGAGACCATCCTGGCTAACATGGTGAAACCTTATCTCTACTAAAAATACAAAAAATTAGCCGGTCATGTGGCACAAGCCTGTAGTCCCAGCTACTCGGGAGGCTGAGGCAGGAGAATCGTTTGAACCCAGGAGGTGGAGGTTGCAGTGAGCCGAGATCATGCCACTGCACGCCAGCCTGGGCAACAGAGCGAGACAAGAAAGAAAGAAAGAAAGAAAGAAAGAAAGAAAGAAAGAAAGAAAAGAAAGAAAGAAAGAAAAGAAAGAAAGAAAAGAAAGAAAGAAAGAAAGAAAGAAAGAAAGAAAGAAAGAAAGAAAGAAAGAACTCTTATAACTCAATAAAACAACCCAATAATAAATTGGGCAGAAGACTTGAACAGACACTTCACAAAAGAAGAAGACAGCCAAGTGGCCAAGAAACATGCAAACGAAGCAGCATCCATCACTGGAGATATCAGAATTAAACTGAAATGAGATGCCACTACACCTATCAGAACAAGGTAGAATTATTTCTAAAAAATGACAACAGAGCCGCTGCTGAGGATGGAAGAAACTGGGACTCTCTTGGAAATTGCTGGTAGGGATTTACGTGGGTGCGGCTACCCTGGAATACTGCTCGGCAGTTTCTAATAAACTTTAACATGTATCTGACCCATGACCATGCAACTCCTTTCCCAAGTTTATATCCAAGAGAAATGAGCGCACATGTCCACAAAAAGACTTGTATAAGAATGTTTATCATGGATTTGTTCATAATAGCCTCAAACTGGAAACTACAAATATCCATTGATTGGTAAACAGAGTAAACTAATTGTAGTATAATCATTACAATGGAATACCACGGAGCAATAAAGAAAAACAAACTACTGATACATGCAACAACATGATGACTCTCAAAATCATTACACTGAGCAAAAAAAAAAAAAGAGCCAGATACAAAGGGAACATATCGTTTGACATATCATATGAAGTTTAAGAACAAGCAAAGCTGATGATGGAAGTCAGAAGAGTGATTACTTCTAGGGAATGGGTATCAAATGGAGGGAGCACAGGCAGACTTTCTGGGATGATGACATGTCTTTTATCTTGAACTTGGGGGAAGACACTGGGATAGCCCTTGTACAATGAGCTAGGTGTTTACGATTTGGACAGATGTGTATCTGTATGTAACTTATACCTTAGTTTTTCATGGCATCAGAAAAAAAATCACAGAATTAAAACTAGAAATCTTAGTGAAGAAAAAGGTTCTACAGTGGATGCGATGTGTTGATGTTTCCCAATTACGGCATTACAGGCATTTATTTATTATTTATTTATTTATTTGAGGTGCAGTCTTGCTCTATTGCCAGGCTGAAGTGCAGTGGCACAATCTCGGCTCTGCAACCTCCACTTCCCGGATTCAAGTGATTCTCCTGCCTCAGCCTCCTGAGTAGCTGGGACTACAGGCACCCGCCACCACGCCTGGCTAATTTTTGTATTTTTAGTAGGGACGGGGTTTCACCATGTTGACCAGGATGGTCCAGATCTCTTGACTTCGTGATCCACCCGCCTCGGCCGCCCAAAGTGATGGGATTACAGGCGTGAGCCACTGTGCCCGGCTCCAGCATTACAGGCATCTTATCTGGCATTCTCTTCAACATGTTACATCCACAGGGGAACCTTTTTCTTCCTTTTCTCAAACTATAAGAAAAAACATATAAGCCCGGGAACTATGGCCACCCCTCTGCCACCCACCATCACTGCTAACCCCTAGAGAAGTTCTGAGGGTGTAGCAAACTTCTACTGGGTATCTTTGTCTATCCCGAAGGAAACAAAACAAAACAAATAGAAGTTGTAATTATTCCAGCTGGAATCTTCTGGAAGAAAAGGCAGGGAGGTTGCTCTTTGACTCTTCTGGTCAGTTTCAATGCGATTCTGTTGCAGGCACAAACACACATATTCAGAGGCACAAGAAAGGACGATCTCCCCAAAGACTGAGATTACCTTGGGAGTTTGGGTGATTTGCTAGCTCTGGAGATTTTGGGAGATTTCTTGGCAGCCCAGTCATCACTCAGCTCAATGTCACTGGAGTCTGAGCAGTTGCAGCTGTCGATCACAGTAGAAATCAAGCTGTTCCCATAGATTTCATCTGGTAAAACACCAACCAGCAGATTTCAAGGGAAGTTATATCAATTAGCCCCTACCAATGATCATTACTATAAACTAAAAGACAGACGGACTCCACAGGCCATCATTTTAGACCTAGAGGTTGAAACCAAAAAGAAGCTTGGCATTGTTTTTCTCTTTTACATTTTCTAAGCAGAAGGAGGCAATTACTTCTACTGTTGTCAAAATGGGCATGGTATTTTAATGTTTCTAGGAATGTACGAAATAGACACCATTTGCCAAAAGCTGAAAACAAAATGGCTGTGCTGTTGTCTCACAACACACAGGTGCCCACCTGGGTTCATGCGGACTTTCAGGCAGCCACAGAACCTGGGCTGAGGGTCTTGCGGGCTCACTGATTCCCCTGAGAACCTGCTTCTGACCTGAGAAGGCCCTTGCGGATGCCAAGCCTGCTTGAACTACAGTCCTGACAGAGTCAGGTCCCCTCCACTTAGGTCTGGAAAGTCAGAAAGTCCCCTGGAATTGCCACAGGTCTTGCGGCGGGGGCCTGGCTCTCCCGCCTGGTAAAGCTGCTTGCCTGCGTGGAGCAAAGGCTAGGAAACCTGTGCGGTGGGAACTCCCAGGATGGCTCTGGGTTCTTCTGGGGGTACTCCGCATGGGGCCTTCAGGCAGACGGTGAGATGATGTGCAGAGTGGGATGATGGCAAAACTGTGGGGCAAAGTTCCTCTTCGTTGGAATTCCTCTCCCTTGCTGCCCATCCCCACCTGTGCTATCACATCCCCTCACCACCCAAATCCCCCACACACCCCCCTCCACTGCCCCAGGTCTGTCCTCAATGTGAGGACCCCATTCTTCCAGATTACTTTGTTTTTCTGATGAAAATCTCATTGCCTCAAGGCTCCAAGTGCCTTGCCAGGTAATAAATAAAAGCTGTATCATTCAATCACAATGAAATAATTCATAATGTGAGTGATCTTACCATCCAAAAAGGTTGTTTATATTTTAAAGGATGAGTTTCTTAATCCAAACCAATCTAGAAGTTTCTGAGCATTTGGAGGTGGCATCTGTGAACAGGGGCCCCTCTGAGGCAGAAAAGCTTGGCAAGCTCCTTGGAAAGGAGGCTGGCCCCAGGTTGTGTCGCCCACATCACCCCCTTTTTAAAGCACTCACTGAATCAGGAGGCTCGACGCCTGGACCCAGCGAAAGCCACAGTGAAGCCACAGTGGTATTTGTGTTTAAGCAAATAAAAAGGCTTAATGCACAAGTCCTGAGCAGTGTTTTATATGACTTAATTTAGGAATCACTGGATCAAAGGAATCTCAGCTATGACTCAAGCATGCATGCAAGCCTACAGAATGTGCCTGTGTGTGTGATTCGACTTGAGGAAACCCAGTAAGACACTGCCCACTCAGCTCCTGACTCACTCATCAATGCCAGGAACCCTCAAATACCATGTCCCAGACCATTTCCTCTATCCCTTCACTCAAAACTACTATTTTCTTTTTTATAGAGATAGGGTCTCACTATGTTGCCCAGGCTTGTCTTAAACCCCCGGACTCAAGTGATCCTCCTGCCTCAGCCTCCCAAAGTGCTGGGATTAGAAGAGCTGAGCAACTGCATTTGGCCATAACTACTATTTTATTGTCTGTCTCCCCAACTACTGCAAACTCCACAAGGGAAGGAAAGTAATCTGTCCTGCCTCCTGCTTTAACCCCAGAGACTAGAACAATACCTGAGACTTGATAAATACTTTCTGAAAGAATAAATGACGATTTAAGGGGTGGCATGAGACAAAGAAAATGGCTTTCTGAAAACATGTCCTCAGCCCTGCTTGTTCAGTGTTACAATTCCACACGTGCAGGCACTGCCTGCCACTCTGACGTCTGTCATCAGCACGACTAGCAATTCAGTGCATGACATAAGCTCCACATTTGCAGAGGCTGAGGTGGTGGCTGGGTCTACTTCATACTTCTAGAGATTCTGTGTCATCAATTTATCATGGCTGTTCTGGAAAAACATCTAAGTCGTAGAAAAATGTAAGCTGGGACTGGTCTTTGAGAACCTATGGCTTAACTACAATGTCTGGGGCTTTACATCTCAATTCTGTCAGTTTTCAAGAATCTGCTAATTTCTTCTGGGTTGAAGGCTTTGTGGGTTTTTTTGGGAGATGGAGTCTCGCTCTGTCGCCTAGGCTGGAGTGCAATGCAGTGACATTATCTTGGTTCACTGCAACCTCCACCTCCTGGATTCAAGCGATTCTCCTGCCTCAGCCTCCTGAGTAGCTGGGACTACAGATGCATGCTGCCATGGCTGGCTAATTTTTTGTATTTTCTTTATTTACTTATTTTTTGAGATGGAGTCTTGCTCTGTCACCCAGGCTGGAGTGCAGTGGTGCAATCTAGGCTCACTGCAGCCTCCATCTCCTGCCTCAGCCTCCCGAGGCAGTGATTCTCCTGCCTCAGCCTCCCGAGTAGCTGGGACTATAGGCACCTGCCACCACACCCAGCTAATTTTTGCATTTTTATTAGAGATGAGGTTTGACCATGTTGGCCAGGCTGCACTTGAACTCCTGACCTCAGGTGATCTGCCTACCTTGGCCTCCCAAACTGTTGGGATTACAGGCATGAGCCACTGCACCTGGCCATTTTTTTTTGTATTTTAGTAGAGACAGGGTTTCACCGTGTTGCCCAGGCTGGTCTTGAACTACTGAGCTCAGGCAATCCTCCCGCCTTGGCCTCCCAAAGTGCTGGGATTACAGGGGTGAGCCACTGTGCCCAGCTTCCTGAATTAGATATATTTTTAAAATAAAATCTTTAAAAACGGTTTTAATGGCTTTTAAATATACACTCTAAATCTGCTCAGGCTACGATAACAAAATACCACAGACTTGGGTGGCTCCAATAATAGAAATTGTTTCCTCATACTCTGGAGGCTGAAAGTCCAAGACTAGGGCGCCAGAATGATTAGATTCTGGGGAACGCTGTCTTCCTGGCTTGCAGGTGGCCTCTACTCAGTGTATGTGCATGAAGAAAGAGCTCTTTCCTTGCCTTTTTTTTTGAGACGAGTCTTGCTCTGTCACCCAGGCTGGAGTGCAGTGGCGCGATCTCGGCTCACTGCAAGCTCCGCCTCCCAGGTTCACGCCATTCTCCTGCCTCAGCCTCCTGAGTAGCTGGGACTACATGCACCCGCCACCACGCCCGGCTAATTTTTTATATTTTTAGTAGAGATGGGGTTTCACCTTGTTAGCCAGGATGGTCTTGATCTCCTTACCTTGTGATTTGGCCTTCCAAAGCACTGGGATCACAGGCGTTAGTTAGTCCTTGTCTTCTTATAAGGCCAACTGTCCTATCAGATTAGGACCTCCCTTAAGATCTCATTTAATTTTAACTCCCCCCTGTAAGTCCTAACTCCAAATACAGTCACATTGGGAGTCAGGACTTCCCAATATGAATTTTGGGGGTGACGTGGGGGCACAATTCAGTCCACAGGACTCCTGGCCACTCTCAGATTCATGTTCTTCTCCCATGCAAAATATATTCATTCTATTCCCAAAACCCCCAAAGTCTTAACTTATTTCAATATCAACTCTAAAGTCCAGAATCTCATTTAAATTGTCACCTAAATCCAGTATGGATGGGACCTGAGGTACAATTCATCCTGAAGCAAAACTGCTCTCCAGCTGTGAACCTGTGAAACTAGAGAAGTTATGTGCTTCCAAAATACAATTGTGGGACAGGCATAGAATAGACATTCCCATTCCAAAAAGGAGACACTGGAAGTACGAAAGTGGTGACAGGTTCCAAGCAAATCCCAAATCTCGCAAAGAAAATTCCATTGAATTTTGAGGCTTGAGTGGAGTCTTCTTTGGTTTGATATCCTGTCCTCCAGGCCTACTGGGGTGTCAGCATCACCCTCCTAACTCTGGCAGGGATCCTGCCCCCATGGCTCTGCCCACAAGGCTCTGTGCAAAGGCCATCTGGCCTGCTGAAACTGAGGAGGTGGACCTAATGATCTCTGAATCACTTTCAAGGTTATTTTTCTTTCTTCTTGAAGAATAGTGCATGTTAGTGGCCAAACAGCTCCATCATCCCAGCTGGTCAAAGCTAAGAAGTCCAACAGCCTCTCTCCTTCCTTTCATCCTGTTTCCATCCACTACAGTTCAAACTGGCAGTGTCTCTGCTCATATAATTTCATAAGCGCTTTATCAAATGAGAGTCCAGCCATAACTTTGGTATTTTCTTCAAAATGTACTTAATACTTATTTTTTGCAATATGAATAGTCTAAATATTTTCTAAATCTAAATCTTCATCTTTTATCTTAACAATTCCTTCTTCCATTCATCTTTCTCCTTTTGCATTTTACTATAAGCCATCAGGAGGAACCAAACTGCTCCTTCAACACTTTGCTTACAAATCTCTTCAGTTACATATCCAGTTTAATCACTTGCAAGTTCTACCTTCCATGAAACAGTAAACACAGTTTACTCAAATCCTTTGCTGCTTTATAGGATCACCTTTCATCCAGTTTTCAGTATGTTCCTCATTTCCAACTAAGACCTCACCAGAATTGCCCTTAACATCCGTATTTCTAGCATCCACCTCAAAACTCTTCTAGCCTATATCCATTACCCAGTTCCAAAGCTTCTTCCACATGTTTAGAGATTTGTTACAGCAATACCCATTTCCTGGATCCAAAATCTGTATTAGTCAGGGTTCTCCAGAAAAACAAAACCAGTATTATGCGTGTGTGTATGCAAGAGCACGTGTGTACGCACAAGCGTGCGTGCACACACACAGGCGCACGCGCTAAATAACTGGTCCATTCGATTATGGAGGCTGAGCAGTCTCAAGGTTAGGGTGACAACGCCTGCTTCCTGGTGAAGGCTTTGCCCCCGGCTTGCAGACAGCTGTCTTTTCGCTGTGTCCTCATATGTCCTCTCCTTGGTGCACGTGCGTGGTGAGAGATCTCTTTCTCCTTCTTTTCTTTAAGGCCAGTAACTAAATCAGATCAGGATCCACCTATATGAACTCCTTTTACCTTAATCTCCCCTAAATGTCCTACCTTCACACTAGGGGTCTGGACTTCAATATATGAATTTTAGGGCAACACAAGTCAGTCTATAGCAAGCTCTGGCTAAAGATTCCTTTAGAAAATGTGTGGGCCAGGTGCAATAGCATGTCTGTAAATCCCAGCACTTTGGCGACCGAGGCAGGAGGATTTCTTGAGATCAGAAGTTTAAGACCAGCCTGGGAAACACGGTGAGACCCTGTCTCTACAAAAAAAAAAAGTGCACTATGATCATACCACTGCACTCCAGTCTGGGTGACAGAGTAAGACCCTGCCTCCTTTTAAAAAACAATGGGTGGGGGTGGTGGAGGGAAGCAGCTGGGCATGGTGGCTCACACCTATGATCCCAGCACTATGGGAGGCCAGTGCTGGAGGATCTTGAATCCAGGAGGTGAGACCAGCCTGGGCAACACATGGAGCCCCCACCTCCACAAAAATAAAAAAAAAATTAAAAAATTAGCCAGGTGTGGTGGTGCACACCTGCGATCCTAGCTACTTGGAGGCTGAAGTGGGAGGGTTGCTTGAGCCTAGGAGTTCAAGGCTGCAATGAGCCATGATTGTACTACTGCACTCCAGCCTGGGAGACACCGTGAGACCCTGTCTGAAAAAAAAAAAAACTACTGGGACTCATGGTATCTGGTATAAAAATACACACTGGTGATTTTGAGGAACATATCTGCCAAGTCACTTGACAGTGGATCACAAACTTTAGTGCATAAAAACCACCTGGGAAACCCATTAAGTCGCATGTTTGTAGGCCCCACCCCAGCCCTAATGAATCGTAATCTAAGGGTAAGCCTAGGAACGTGTATTTAAATAAGCATCCCAGGTGATTTGCATGGGGGTGGTGGTGCATGGAACACATTTTGAGAAACAATGATATGGCGGCCTCAATGAGTTAATCAGCTTTTAATGATAAGAAATTTGGGGACAGGCATGGTGGTTCCTAGCACTTTGGGAGGCCAAGGCGGAGGACTACTGGAACCCAGGAGTTTATCAGCCTGGGCAACATGGTAAAACCCTGTCTCTACAAAAAATACAAAAATTAGCAAGTGTGGTGCACACCTGTAGCCCCAGCTGCCCAGGAGGCTGAGGTGGGAGGATCGCTTGAACCTGGGAGGTCAAGGCTGTAGTGAGCTGTAATGGCACCACTGCACTGCAGCCTGGGCATCAGAGCAAGACCCTGTCCCTCCATCCCCCCAATAAAAAGAAAAAAGAAATTCCTGTTTTCTCAATGTCAGGGACTCTTTTCCACCTCTGAAATAGTTTATATATGCCATTCAGGTGCAATTAGTTATATTGTGCCTTGTGACATATCCTCTATTTTTGTCATCAGGTATTTAAATCTTGACTTTTTAATTAAACTTTTCAAGTGCTTACATTGTCTTATCACCCAAAAGGGTTTAGAAACTCCTTAAAAGCAGAGATGACCTGGTATTACTTAATAATAGCAGGAGACTCAAGTACCCCACACAAGGTAGGCACTGACTAAATATCTGTCAATGTGCTTTGTTTTATAGCTTTTAATTCTTTTAATTATAAAAATACAACATCTTATTCCCTGAAAGGATTGTGCGCAAATGAGTGGGTCTGTGTTTGATACGAGCTGATAAACATGAACCGGAAGGAAGAGCAGGCATTTGGCGTAGTCGGGTCAGATTCAAGCAAGCCCAGTCCTTGGGTACTCCACAGCACAGCCTCCGGTCCGTCTTCTTCAGTGAAGAATTTATGCACACATGAGGAAATAAGCTCTTCACCTAAGTTATCGCCAACATTTAATCTCAATACAGATTTTATAAAATTGTACCCAGGGGAGTAACCTTAGAGGTACTGACATCAGTGAGAACATCTGCTGCAAACCTGGGCTCAGGGCCTGTCCCACGGCCCCCACCCCAGTCATCTCTAACCATTGGTGGCCCTTCTCCTTTTCCCTGAAACCATGTTTCCCTCCCACGTGAACATGCGCTTCTCTCTCTCCTGCTTTTCCCACTGTGCCTTCCTTCCTCCTGAATCTGTCCTCTCCCTCCTTTCAGTCTGCCTCCCTACCAGCCCCAATTCTGCTAGTTGCTTTCTTTGTTCCTGGTACTAGCTTGTCACGAGTCAAAAGACAGAAAAAACGGACTAATATCTAATATTGACAAGTGGTATTGCTGTTTTGCAGGGGTAGTAGAGTGTCACTGCCGATGCTGAACAAATGAAGGCTGGCAGGCAGAGGTGGGGCACCTGTGTACAGCGCTGAGTACAAGTTGAGAGTGAGCAAGCCCACCACACTGTGACTTGGGGTGACTGGTCAGGCCACAGGTCATGCTAGCTCCAGGTCGTAATGAGAGGCAGGGACCAGACTAATGGGCAGGAGAGTAAACTGGAGCGAGGAAGTGGCGAGAGGAAGCATGAACTAATGAAAACAAATCCAAATCCACTGAGGGCACAAAGATGACTCAGTTCTCTCCCCCCAGGCCCACAGGATTCAGCGGGGCAGCGTCTGGAGCACAATGACTAAGCGTGCTGTTCGTTCTGCCATAGGTGATGGGCAAAGTTTCAGAGGGAGGTGGCAGACTGAGCTGGCAGTGACTGATGGGTGCACGGACACTAGCCTAGTACCAAGTGGCACAAAAAAAGAACAAAGTCCCTTCCCTCTGAAGCTTACAATCTAGGATCCCAGAGAGATGTGCAGGGAGCATCTTGAATACATTAACTGAGCAATGAAAATCACTGCAGGGAAAGGTTTTTAGAAGAAAAGGGTGACTCATACCAACATCTTTATGGATGAGCAAAACATTGTCATTAGCAATCAGGTAAAAAGCAGTTAACAGTAGACTAGGGAGGGGTAGGAGGCTGAAGGTTTGATTTCAATTTTATCATCCACTCTGGGAGGGTAGGGACTGTATCTTGTTATTATTTTCAAGTTGTCTCAATATTACATGAAGGCACTCGATGAATACTCGGTAACTGTGAAGAGGAAACCCTCACTCCCAGGAGGACTGCGCCAACTTCCCCTTGCCTGGTTCATCTATCCACCGCCCAGCTATCCACTGCCCATGGAATATGATTAAAAACCTGTCAAAAAGTACATTTAGAGAACTGTTCATTTCAATGGGATTCTGGAAATGTCGTAGCTTCAAGGATGTTCCACACTAGCCCCCACAGGCTCACGTTTCATTAGCAGACATTCTCTTTGCATGGGGTGTAAGGCGTTAACAGCCCATGACCACAGGAGAACAAGGTCCCAGTCCCTCGGGTGAGGGGCCCACCTGGTTTGCTATCTGTCCGCGGGTCCATGATGACGAACTCTGGCCGCAGCTTGCTGATGCGCCGCCCTTTGAGGATGGGCACAAGCCCGCCCAGGTACTCCAGGTAGAGCGTGTAGCACGGGCCGCCCACCTCCGGGTCGTCCTCTGTGCGCTTCATGGTGCAGTGCAGCCGCTCGTTGCCGGCTGATGGGTAGCTGACAAAGTCTCTCATGTTGTTCGGATCTGGAATTGGGGGCTGGAGGATACAGGAAGAAAATGAAGAGCTGGGACTCCAGAGAGGCAGAGAGAGAGGGAAAGAGAGTGGGCACGGGGGCAGGTCAACTAAAAACGCTACTGTTCCAGACAGAGCACAGGCTGGGGGCCTGGGGAAGAGGGTAACTATGTGGTGTAGAACAGTGGTTTGCAATGGTAGGAGCATGTGAGAATCTCCTGCAAGCTTTCGAAGCATATCTAAACCAGGATCCCACATCAGACAATGAAATCAGGATCCACAGGGGCAGCCTTGGGCACCTGTATTTTCCAATGCTATATAATACACCGGTGTTGAGATCTGCTCGTGTAGAATCAATAGTGTAAGGCAACTTAGGAAAAAAAAACAACCCAACAGATTCTAAAACTTTGATGTTTCAGGAAAAAAGTAACCAACAAATGGGTCTGCTACTCAGAAGAAGAGAGACAGAATATAAAAGAGAACCACTTGGGAAAACCCAAGGTTAGGGGGACCCACACTTGAACAGCAACTGGCAGATGCATTCTACATGCTACCTTCTAGAGTTCCCACTGGTATAAAAGGTGGCTGACGCTGAGTGCTGGCTGGAGTGGCCCTCCTCAGCAGTGCTGAGAGCAGGCCCTAGAACTGGGGTGGGTCTAATCCTGACTGTCCCCCTAACCAGCTAGGGAGCAAGTTACTTAACTTCTCCTAACTTGTTTCCTGCTTCCTTAAATGCGAATAATGGCATCTGTCAGGAAGTCAGGACTGAACAAGACAGATTTCTAAAAATTAACTGGTGCAATGCTTAGTATATAGGAAATGCTGAATAATGGTCACTCCTTTGATCATCAGAGGGACACAGAAGTCCAGGAATACCAGCTTTGCCATGAGAAAGATAACAGCCACCACACAGGGCAAATCTCTCATGGACATGGACCATGATGCTTCGACAGACTGCAGACCTGGCAGCACATGACAGGATCCTGCACAGCTGCACATGGCCCCATGTGCTCACTCTGGTACCCTCACCTGTCTCTGCCCTGGCTCTGTGGGGAGCCAGCACAGGTGAGGGAGGAGGAAGAGGGAGGGGTGGAGGGCTTTACCTTGATGGTGGGGATGAAGGCAGTGGAGAGGTAGGAGCAGAGGCGGGGGGGCAGAGTCAGCTTGCTGACGTCCTTGTCCTCACGCAAGGTGCTGGCGATGGCCTGCTGGCACAGCAGCTGCAGGCTGGACACCCGGTGCTCCACACGCACCACGTACAGGGCTGGTCCTGATGCCATCAACAGCCTCGAATCCCGGTGACCCCAGCAGATGGAGATGATGGGGCGCTGGCAGGAAGTGAAGGGAAGACAATGCTTAAGCTTTTGCTCTTGTGGGAAGCAAAAAGGGATAATGCACACTTGTCTCGAGCAAAATAAAATAAGCTGTTTTGAGAATACTGGTTTTAAAAGCACAGTAGAGAATGTTAGACACTATATTACGAAAATTCAGTATGTTTATTGAAAATTGGCTAGAGGGCTGGGCATGGTGGCATAAGGCTGTCATCTCAGCATTTTAGAAGGCCAAGGTGGGAAGATTGCATGAGGCCAGGCTGAAAGACCAGCCTGGGCAATACAGCGAGATTCTCATCTTAAAAATAAAACAAAATAAAATAAAAGTAATTAGGTCCCCAGGCCAGAGCATTAAAGCATTGGAATAATTTTATAAAGTTTGTTTACCTGTATTATATTTCATTTAATTTGGGGTCATGAAACCCAACTGAGCTCTGGGTAGTAAGGTTTCTACTAGTAGGGGCAATCACCTTGTGGTGCAGTAACTCACATTCCTTACTGAAGGGCTGTTTTTCTAGATTCCCAAATTACCCAAGGGTGGTTCCCATGGCTTGGGGAGGTGGTGATGAGGTAGACCAGATGGCCCTTCCCTTCCGTCCAGAGTCAGATCAACAATGGACTTGGTCTTACCAGCTGTGTGACCTGGGGACTATCCATAACCCCTAGAAGCCTCCCCCTTTTCTCATGAGTGGGGACCCTGTGAGGATTACAGGAGGTGATGGAGTCACAGCCCTTCTGGGGCCATCACAGTATATAACCCACAGTCACTGCATTTTCAGCCTCCCTTGGCACTGACGGTGCAGGGAAAGAAAGCTCCCTGGAAAGGCGATTGAGGAGAACACGGTTCCTGTGGTAGCCTCGCTAGGGTCATGGCCATCATTATCTTTGAGAATGCAGGCCAAAATGCAAATATGCAAGTTAGAAAATTCTTATAATAAAAAAAAATCCAAAGCTCAGGGGTGCCATCTAGCCAAGGGAGAAAGAAAGGTGAAGGGTCGTGACGGAGAAGCAGCAAGAGATTTGTTCATTCCGATCCAGACAGATGGAGCGCTGATGATCATTCATCTTCCCTTTCTACCACAGGAGGCCAGGCAGTTGCAGGGTGGGGTGATGGCCACAGTCCCCAGGGGAGGGCCGTGTTTGTTGGCCAAGGAGTCTGGAAAACTCAAGTCTAGGGGCTTCTGGGACACTTCCAGGACATGTCTCCATATGAGATGATTCCACACAGGGGGCAGGCCCCACACAAAGGGACCTATTAACTTACAGAAATACATAATCACTGCTGAAGACAGGGCAAACCAACACACAGAAAATGCACAGAAAAATTACTCTGGTATCGTCAACCCCCAAAAGTACAGGTTAGGACAGAGGCTCTATTAGTAACAAAATCATGCTTGATCTTAAAGATACGCTGCTGTCCCTTTACCTCTGAGCCCCCTAAGACAATATTCATAACTTAGAGCTCAAGTCCCCCAAAAAATGGTTTTATTTTTGTTTCTAACTTTTATGTTCAGGGGTACACAAGCAGGTTATATAGGTAAACTGTGTCACAGGGATTTGGTGTACAGGTAATTTTGTCACCTGGATAATAAGCATAGTACCCGACAGGCATTTTTTCTGATCTTCTCCCTCCTCCCTCCTCCCACTCTCCACCCTCAAGTTGTTCCCCTTCCTGTATCCATGTGTTCTTGTTATTCAGGTCCGGCTTAGAAGTGAGAATATATGGTATTTGGTTTTTTTGTTCCTACGTTAGTTTGCTAAGGATAGTGGCCTCCAACTCTATCCATGTTCCTGTAAAGGACATGATCTTGTTCTTTTTTATGGCTGCATAGTATTCCATGGTGTTTATGTATCACATTTTCTTTATCCAGTCTACTGCTGATGGGCATTTAGGTTGATTCCATATCTTTGCTATTGTGAATAGTGCTGCAATGAACATATGCATGCATGGGTCTTTATGATAGAACAAATATTCCTTTGGGTATATACCCAGTAATGGGATTGCTGGGTCGAACGTTAGTTCTCAATTCTTTGAGGAATTGCCACACTGTTTTCTACAATGGCCGAACTAATTTACACTCCCACTAGCAGTGTAGAAGCGTTTCCTTTTCTCTGCAACCATGCCGACATCTATTATTCTTTGATTTTTTAATAATGGCCATTCTGACTGGTGTGAGATAGTATCTCACTGTGGTTTTGATTTGCATTTCTCTAATGGTTCATGATGTTGAGCATTTTTCATATGCTTGTTGGCTGCATGTATGTCTTCTTTTGAAAAGTATTTGTTCATGTCCTTTGCCCACTTTTTAATGAGGTTGTTTGGAAAAACAGTTTTCAATGAGCACAACCTGACTGGCTGCAGAAACATCAGACACTTCTTCCCTCTAATTTCCCATTCCTCTTTAGTCCAGCTATCTGAAAGGCAGACACTCTGTATTTATCCTCTGTCCTCCTCCCTCCTAGTTCTGCTTTTCATAGTAACTATCTCTGTATAACAGTTGATGATATATTTTATATAAAATTATCATAAGTATGTGTCTCTTATATCTTTGTACCAAGAACTTAAACCACTCACACAGACCTTCAACTAGATGAAAATCAGCTTTGTTACCTTTATATATATAATTACCACCCATCCTGACAAAAACAACCTTGTCTGCAAAACTACATTCCAACAGCAAGCACATCAAATGCTCACATACCTGAATTCACTGCATCCGTTCTACTCTCCCACATGAATAACATTATTCTCATCTAACATATGAGGTTAGAGAGGCTAAGGCAGGCTAGGTACCTTGTTATAGTAATAAATGGTGGAAGAGCTGTGATTCTCATCCCTCCCCAGCTCCACTGCTGGTCCTTATCTTACTACATGGTGCTGACTCTCTGAAGTGCCAACATATTGATACCACAGCCTAAAGAATGCGTAATACTCCACTGAAAAATTTAACCATTTGTCCATCACATACAAAATCGTGAGCCCCAGATGGCCCCTTAGTCCATTTGGTCAAAGCTGCTTTACTCAGAAACAAACCAAACATGTCTATAGAAAAGGCAAATAGGAAGAGAAACAGGCTGTTTACACAGCATATAAATAAATGATCTGCGGGGTTCATCACAGCAGAAGAGAGCCCACAGGTAATTAGGCAGGTAGCATGGTTGGATGAACACGGAACACAGTCGCTGGCACATCTCGAAGGCGAGGGAGGATGGTGTGACTCCAAACCAGGTAGCGCATTCGCTCGGACGACTTGGAATTCTCAGCCAAGCAGGAGTGAGAAGACGCGAAAGATTAAAGGATGGAACATTAGAACCTGGGAGAAAAAGGGCTGAAATTATTTAGCCTGGAGAAGTGAGGTCTGCAGGGTCTCAAAGGAATAATTATTATCTAGGGCAACGTTACCAGGAAATCCCCTCTTCTAAGAATGGGACAAGAACACCAACACAGGAATTTACATTAAATTAATTAGGGTGCAGCACTCATTTACTTGCCCAAGTAAGTGAAAACTTACTCTGGGAGAGGGCAGGGCACGGACACATTGATTTAATTTAATTTAGTTTGTGTAGCATATAGTCCATGTAAGATGATAAAGCAGCAAAATAAACGCTGGTACCTTTGCCATAATAATTTTAAGGCTGTGCTAGAAAAACGGGGAAGGAGTGACAGATAACAAGAACTGCCCCTCTTGTCTGAAGATTCTGAGTCATCACTGACCTGGGGAAATGAATGACTGTGATGACTGTTTGGTCAGAAGTGAGGCAGCAGGGTATGACTTCTCAGGACCCCTGTAAGTCCACAGAAAGTCCCTAACAGGTCATCTTACTTTTTAAAAGTCACATTTCTGCTGGTGTTAATTTTTCCCTGGCTGTTTACTGGTATTCCAGCCTATAAAGCCCTCGCTACAAATGTTCTGTAGTTTTGGCAAGAACAAGAGTCAAATGGCGCTAACTGCATGTGGCCACAGACACGGGGCGGGGCGTTCACTAACGCTAGTCCTGATTTTGCCACCTCACAGTCATCAATTTCCATCACTCTGTCCTCTAGGTTCATGGGTGATGGCAGAACATGAACACACTGTCTGCAGGCCCACAGACCTCACCCATGCTGAAGGTACCTCCTCCCTAAGAACCTCCGCCTACTAGGCTGAGCCGCAGCAGAACAGCACAGCTCTTCAAAGCTCCCAGATTCACGTTGTGTTTGAACAGCTGCTGTCTGCTAGGGAAAAACTCAATTGTAAGTTTGCGGTCTTAATCTCTTTCTCAAATCCCATAAAACGACTATTTTTAGAACTGATGGCTAGAACTGTGAAGCAGATGACATTCAAATCTTAATTTGCATAGGGAGGTTCACATATTTTACACGTCTAAATCTGAGGCAAAAGTGCAAGAAACTGAGCTGCATTTCAGGGAGTGTGGGTCTGGTGGAACAGGGAGAACCACTGCTCAGCTGGAAAGGACAAACTCTAGGCCACAGTGCTGGAGGCGAGTGGCCCATGGAGGGGCAGGCTTCTCCTCTGGCTTCTCCCCCTCAATGCTGAGGCTGAGCCCCGGAAAGGAAAAGATGCGGGCCAGCCCTGCCTCACCTCCCACCAGGGAGTGTGGCAATCAAGGCCTGGTGCCCGTTCCTTACTCTGCCACCTCTCCTCCTGCTAGTACACAAGACATGCCATGCGTCCAGCCAATCATTTTTTTATCTACTGAGCTGTTAGTCATTAGATAAATATTTGCTAAATGTATACAAATGGACAGATCCATGCTAGTTATAAGGGGACTGACAATGAATCAAATACATTCTCTGCCCTTGTAGAGCTTACATCCTGGCGTGGCAGGGAGAGAATAAATACAGGTGAAGTATCCTTAATCTGAAAATCTGAAACCCAAAATGCTCCAAAATCTGACTTTTGGAGTGCCAACAAGATGCTCAAAGGAAATATTCATTGGAGTATTTCGAATTTTCAGATTTGGGATGCTCACCTGATACAATGCAAATATTCTGAAATTAAAAAGAAATCTGAAATCCACAACAATTCTGGTCCTAAGCATTTCAGATAAGGAGTACTCAACCTGTATCTCAGTATCTGTGACAGGAACTACCTGATAACGTGAGGTAGTGAAATTCCGTGAAGTAAAAAACAGTGTTGAGCGAGAGCCAGAGCAACAGCAAGGGGGTCTTTTTGAAGAGAGGGAGCAGGGAGGCTGCCCTGGAGGTGGTTTGAGCAGAGGCCTGGCTGAGAGGAGAAATCTATTTAATTGGAATTGAAAGCTTCCTCACTATATTACTATTTTTGTATATAGCAGTGAGTTGGATAGAGTCTTCTGAAAATGTAGGAGGAACAAAAACCAACTATACTGGTCCTGGACAGGGAAAACCAGGCAGTGCCAGCACAGGGTTTCTGGATGACTGAGGGAGGCCTTGGGCTGAGGACTGGCTACCCGGCCACCGAGGAGGCAGATTCCTGGGACAGTCGGAGGCTCTCCAGCCTCCCTCTCCACCCTTTGTTTGTTCTTTCTGTAGCTCTCCCTAAGAAGGATGGGGGATCTGTCTTGAAGAAAATGCACCTAGTAGGATGAAATGTTTTATGTCTGTACAAACATGTGCAAAATAGTTCACTTTAAAACAGAAGAAGGGCAAGGTGCAATGGCTCATGCCTATAATCCCAGCACTTTGGGAGGCTGAGGCAGGAAGATTGCTTGAGGCAAGGAATTCAAGACCAGCTTGGGCAACATAGCAAGACCCTGTCTCTACAAAACAAATTTTCAAAATTAGCTGGGTGTGGTGGTGCACACCTGTAGTCCTAGCTACTTGGGAGGCTGAGGCAGGAGGATCGTTTGAGCCCAGGAGGTTGAGGCTACAGTGAGCTATGATCATGCCACTGCACTCCAGCCTGGGAGACAGTGAGACTCTGTTTATAACAAATTTTTAAAAGGCCAGGCATGTTATGGCTCACTCCTGTAATCCCAGCACTTTGGGAGGCTGAAGCAGGAGAATCAGTGAGGTCAGGAGTTTGAGACCAGCCTGACCAACATGGTGAAACGCTGTCTCTACTAAAAATACAAGAAAATTAGCCGGGCGTGGTGGCACATGCCTGTAGTCCCAGCTACTCGGGAGGCTGAGGCAGGAGAATCACTTGAACCCGGGAGGCAGAGGTTGCAGTGAGCTGAGATCGCGCCATTGCACACCAGCCTAAGCAACGAGAGCAAAACTCTGTCTAAAAACAAACAAACAAAAACAGACCAAGTTGGTGATCGGTCACCGTCAAACTACGTTGGTTGGAGCCACAGACAATTTTGAATACAAAGTTATAATGATTTGGCCACCAACTAAATTGTAGTAATAAAAGCTAGTTCAGCGTTCGGTCAACCAAATTTTAGTTTTAAAAGAACACAACCATCCTTGTATTTTGTAAGCAGACAAGACCCATGAAGGACTTTCTCATCTACTTACAAGAAAAAATGGGAAAAGCACAACAGGGGCAACTTCAGCAGAACAGGCAGAGTTAATCCTAAGTGAAAGAATGCAAGTCTATTTTTGCTATAGGATTCGCCTCCAAGAGTACAGAAGTCCACAATCACACATGCAATCTCTTATTTGATTTTTAAATTCCCATACCCATCTTTTTCCACCTTCTCTTCTCTTAATTTTTTACCCAGTATCACATCAACAACTGAACCTTACAGAATATAGGGTGACCTCTCCACTGGCCTTCAATGCCAGAAGACCATAAAACAAAACAAAAACCTGGGCCTAAATTATTGAAGCCTACAAACTTCAGTCAGTAGTGCTAACTCTGAAAACCTGTTATATTTTCAGATATGCAAGAATATATAGAGAGTCACAGATAACAGCTAATGAGATAAATTACAGAATTTTACATTACAACATGTAGGACAGAAAGGAAAATAAATCAGAGCATATTTCCTTAGAAGAGCTCCAGCCACAAGCATTGCTGTTACAAGTAAATCAGGAGAATCAATTTTAAAGCTGCTGCTGCTGCTGCAAGTTCGTCCCAGGCAATGGTTTTGTACGCAATACCCTACAATCTAATTAACTTGGAAATACATTATCCAATCTAAATTGCATTTAGTTCTTTTTATAAGCAGTCCAATAAATCGCCTAACTTCCTTCCTGCTATAAAAATGTCCCTGCCTTTGGACTCCTTGAATAGCACAGCATAGATCACATGTGATTTTCGAATCATTAGACAAGAGTTAAACTGGTGCTAAATATAATTAATATTGTACTTGATTTTTAATGGCATCATTATTTAACTTTCTATTATTGAGGCGATTTTTTCAATGGTTGAAATGGACCCTCAATGAAAAAAAGAATCAATAATTTATTGAAATGCTGAGGTACTGTAGGGATATCTTTCTTCAAAGGAAGATCAGTCAGGGCCTTTTCTCTTATTCCTGAGCTCAAATAGTTTAAATTCAGGATCCATGTTACTTTCATGTGATGGCTGATGAGAACTTCTGCAATGGTTAAGGCCATAAAACCTTTACTACAGTCTAGGCACTGGTCAGAAAAAGGAAGCCTCTGTCTTCAGGAAAATAAGACAAGTAGACAGAAAAGTGTAATACATGCCAGAGGTGTTAAACACCCCGAGGGTTTACAGAGAAGGGGAGCCTCAATCCACTAGGCAGCTTTAAAAGAAAACGTGACTGAGCTGGCACTGAGGAGGATCCAATTCCTGAGCTAAAACGGCGGGAAGGACATTCCCTGTAGAAGGAACACAATGCCAGCAGGAAGGGGGCCCTAAGTCAGATGAAGTGGGGACAATGCTGAGTGTGTTTCAGCACTTGAATTCACAAATATTCTAATCATAAAAGCCTTATAAAAAGCCAGCATCAGATTGATTATAAATGTGACACAGCCTACAGGTTCAAACAATCAACAGAAAGATGAAAGAAAGCCTATGTTGACACCAGTCCATCCATAAACCCACTGAAGAAAGATTTACTAAGTACCTACTACGTTCTAGGCAATGAACTGGCAGTGGGGACACAAACAGAATCAAGGTAATCTCTCCTTCCTTCAATCCCAAATCCACAGGAACTCTAATATTTATGTTTGTTTTGCCAATGCCCTGGCCTCATACATATGGCCTTAACTCTGTTCTACTTCAGCTCTTTCCTGGGTTAACGCAGAATGACTTCACTTCCAAAACAGAAATTTAAAGTCCCTATCCAACCACAACTTCCCATTTTGTTTGTATCACCTCCTCTTGAACATGTCTTTTTATGACTTTACACTTCCTAGCCTCAGGTCATGAAGTATCTAACCACTGATGCCATGGCTGCCCAATTCCATAGTATCCTTAGCAGTTTCCTAGATTCCTTCGACTCCTTGGCCCTGCTACTACACTCACCTTTCCAGTTCCTAATTTTAGGCAATCGGTACTACTGACTCTAGGATTACAGTGAAGGCATGGACATCACTGACTCTCACTTTATTATCCGGAATGGCAAGTGGATGGCACTCCATGGCACTCCTGCCGAATCTTCCTTGTGCTTTTCATCCTGCCTTTTTAGCTTATTGAGAAGACAGGCATTGTCCTGTAGTGTGTGTGTGCTTTGGCTCCCTCCTGTACTTAAAAATCCTTTGTCTCTTTCTACAATCTCTCCTTCCTTTCTGTCTCTTCCAGATTAAACCTCCCTACTGCCCTCAAACCCACATCTTCCAACTTGCACTGGGCTCTTGTCCCTTGCTGTACTTTTTCTTGCTTATTTCTTCTTTTTTCCCCAAAGACTTATTAATTGTATATGAACACAGTCATGCCTCTCCATTTCAAGTTACCATCCTCTCTCTGCCTTCCCCTCAAACCCAGTCAAAACAGTAGTTTACATGTGCTGCCTCAACTTCTTCACTAGCTGCTTAGTCGCCAATTCTTTATCTTGGCTGTCACAGCTGTATCTCCAGCACCTAGAACAATGCTTGGCATACAGATGGCTCAATAAAGATGACTGAATGAACGAAAAATCTTTTACCATGTGACTTCCATCACCATTCTAGTGAGACCATTTTTGACCTTAAAACCTCCAAATCCAATGTTTCATGTCTACTTTCAACTGTTGTTCTCTTGTTTGACATATTTCCTTTAATGGTTCTGAGAGACAGGACTAGCTGGATTTCCTAGGCCGACTAAGAATCCCTAAGCCTAGCTTGGAAGGTGACCGCATCCACCTTTAAACAGAGGGCTTGCAACTTAGCTCACACCCAACCAATTAGAGAGCTCATTAAAATGCTAATTAGGCAAAAACAGGAGGTAAAGAAATAGCCAATCATCTCTTGCCTGAGAGCACAGCAGGAGGGACAAGGATCGGGATATAAACCCAGGCATTCAAGCCGGCAACGGCAACCCCCTTTGGGTCCCCTCTTTGTATGGGAGCTCTGTTTTCACTCTATTTCACTCTATTAAATCTTGCAACTGCACTCTTCTGGTCCATGTTTGTTAAGGCTCAAGCTGAGCTTTCGCTCGCTGTCCACCACTGCTGTTTGCCGCCGTCGCAGACCCGCCGCTGACTCCCATCCCTCCGAATCTGGCAGGGTGTCTGCTGTGTTCCTGATCCAGCGAGGTGCCCATTGCCGCTCCCGATCAGGCTAAAGGCTTGCCATTGTTCCTGCACGGCTAAGTGACTGTGTTCACCCTAATCGAGCTGAACACTAGTCACTGGGTTCCACGGTTCTCTTCCGTGACCCACGACTTCTAATAGAGCTATAACACCCACTGCATGGCCCAAGATTCCATTCCTTGGAATCCGTGAGGCCAAGAACCCCAGGTCAGAGAACACGAGGCTTGCCACCATCTTGGAAGTGGCCCGCCGCCATTCTGGAAGCAGCCCACCACCATCTTGGGAGCTCTGGGAGCAAGGACCCCTGGTAACAGCTCTCTATGACATTCCTCTTCCATCTCCTTCCTTCTGCTGCTTGTTAAATGAAGGCTATCACTCCACTACCCAAAGTTCTATGCTTGGCCCTTTCCTCATTTCCCCTCGTTCTATTCATTCCTTTGACATTAAATCCATTTCATTTCTCCAACTATGGCCTCCATGTGGATGACTCCAAATCTCTATCTCCACCCCAATCTCTTGCCTCAGTTCTAGTCCCTCATCCCCAAACGCCTTCCACACTTAGAGATGTGGCTGCAACAGTAACTAAAATGGTCTGCTTTTGGCCAGGTGTGGTGGCTCAGACCTGTAATCCCAGCACTTTGGAAGGCCGAGGCAGACAGATCACTTGAGGTCAGAAAATCAAGACCAGCCTTGGCCAACATGGTGAGACGCTGTCTCTACCAAAAAATACAAAAATTAGCCAGTGTGGTGGCACACACCTGTAGTCCCAGCTACTCGGGAGACAGAGGTGGGAGAATCGCTTGAACCCAGGAGGTGGAGGTTGCAGTGAGCTAAGATCATGCCACTGCACTCCAGCCTGAATGACAGAGTGAGATCCTGTCTCGAGAAAAAAAAAAAAAAGGTCTGTTTTCACTAGTACTGACCTCCTCCTCCTCACAGTCCTCCAGAAGCCAAATCTCTTACAATCTCTCTGAACTCTGTGTCTCTCTTCCACTCTATTTTCACCGTTCTGGATTTTTGTCCTGATTCCGTCTTACTGAGATAATAACACTGACGTCAGTTTAGTCTCCCCAAAGCCCTGTCTCACCTCTCCCTTGCTCATAAAATAAAAATACAAAACAAAAGGCCAAATGAAGTTTAACATCTTGGTCAGTGCTATGTATGGTCTGAATGTGTGTCCCTCCGAAATTCTTGTTGCAATCTAGTTCCCATGGTGGTGGTATTAGGTGGGGCCTTTGGGAAGTGATTAAGTCATAAGGCCTCCACCCTCACGATGGGATTAGTGCCCTTATAAAAGAGATTAAAGGGAGGCGCCTCCCTGCTTTTACTCATTCTACCATGTGAGGACACAGGCACAAGGCGCCATCTATGGAGCGGACCAGACGCTGAATCTATCAGTGCCTGGATCTTGGACTTCCCAGCCTCCAAAACTGTGAGAATTAAATTTGTATTATTTATAAATCACCCAGTCTAAGGTATTTTCTTATAGCAGCCCAAACAGACTAAGACACATTTGGTCCTAAGACACTTTTCTAGTCTTACTTCCTGTTGTTGTCCCTTACATAAACTATGCTGTAATCAAACTGTATTCTATTTCTAAAAGTGATTTATTATTAATTTTTTTAAAAGAAATTATGTTACGATTGCCAGTGGCTAAAGAAACCAAGAGATAATATAAATGGCAAATAAGTTTAAGTTATCTGATCCTTGGAAATTACATAATGCTGGGGTTCAATCAGGCTGGTGGAAAAATATTAGAGATAGTTATAGAAATAGACACAAATCTTGGAAAACTGAGAAGTTTGTGTAACTTCGGTAATTTATCTGGCTGAAGGCGGCCTGATCCCTTTACCTTTAGTTAAACAAATTAAAATAGTAATAAAGAAAGGCAGCGTAGTTTACCTACCTAGCTTGTTTACTCATATAATCTTAAGACTAACCTTTGATGTACCAGGTGCTTAAGTGCTTTTTACTGGGGAAGTCCACAATGTCAATTACCCTCTAATGGTGTTGACTCAAGCTTTTGTTAATTAATCTTACTGAATAAATGCGAGTGGAGTCGCAACTGTTTACACGACTCAGCAGGGAGTCTGTAAGCGGCTCCCACACAGCTGGACTGGCAAAGCAGAGTATCTGTGTGTCAGTGTACTTTTATTCATCCGTTGCTGGGTCAGGGGTCTGCAAGGGACAGACTCTCTGCAGCTGGTGCCCCCTGGAGAGGATTGCTGCCCCAACATAACTCACCAAGTAATGGGCAGCAGTAAGATACAATGTTAAGGCTCACTGATTCATTCAACCAGTATTTACTGAGACTGCCATGAGCCAAGATCTGTTCCAGGCGTGGTGCAAAGCTTGGAAGAAAGGAGGCATCTGGTAAACTGAGAAACAGAAAAATCCAGATTGGCAGGGTCAGAGGAGGATGGAGTGGTAAGAGCTAATTCTAGAGGGGATGGAGGGCCAGATTATGGTGATCTTTTTAAGGCACAATGAATTTTTTAACTTTATCCTAAGGATAGTAAGAAGCTACTGATCTGACTTGTGATTTTACAAAGACTGTGGCTGCAAAGTGAAGAACAGTTTAAAAGGGAAAGGCAGGCAGGGCGCGGTGGCTCACGCCTGTAATCCCAGCACTTTGGGAGGCTGAGGCGGGTGGATCACGAGGTCAGGAGTTCAAGACCAGCCTGGCCAACATGGTAAAACCCCATCTCTACTAAAAAAGTACAAAAAATTAGCCGGGTGTGGTGGCACGCGCCTGTAATACCAGCTACTCGGGAGGCTGAGGCAGGAGAATCACTTGATTCTGGGAGGCAGAGGTTGCAGTGAACGCTGATCGCAACATTGCACTCCAGCTTGGGCAACAAGAGCGAAACTCTGTCCAAAAAAAAAAAAAAAAAAAAGAAAGGGAAAGTCGTGGCTCAAACACTGCAGCTAAGATGAGGGTGGCTTGGACTAAGGTGGTGGCCAAGGAAGACAAAAGGATGTAGACATGAAGATATCTAGGAGGTAAAAATACCCACTGGGATTCAGTGGACAGGCTGACTGCTGACTTCTGGCTTGAGCAGCTGGACCACAACCTGGAAGAGGAGCATTATTTAAGAGGTGGAGTGTTCCGAGATTTGGGCATGTTGAATGTGCAATGCTTATGAGATGGCTAATGGGTCTGTGAAGTAAGCAGGTGGGTCTATACAGGCCTCTTTCCTTAGGCTTCAGACCTTCATTGAGATTGGAATTAAAGCTGTAAGACTGGTTGAAATTGTCTGAGGAATACAGAGTGCGAAAAGTGATCAGGCAGAGGTGGAAAAATACCCACAAAGAGCAGGTGCAAGACTCCTTTCCTCCAGGTTATCAAAGCACCAGGTAAACAGTTCTACTTCAAAGTCAAAAGCATTTCTGTGTCATCACTTGTCTGTCTTCCTTAACTAGCTGTGAGCTCCTAGGAGATATGGATCATGTCTTCCTTGTTCAGCCCTGAAACACAAGCACTCAGAGCTCAGTGCCAGCCACACAGTAGCTCCTCAAAATATCTTGGCTGGATGCTTGAACAAATGAGTGAACAAATATGCTTATTTGCTCAAAATATTATACTGCCCAAAGACACAGTTTAATCCTACTTCTTAAAAACAAAAACCCAAATAACCTGATTGAAAAATGGGCAAAGGACTTGAACACACATTTCTCAAAAGAAGATACACGACAACATCACTAATCAACATTATTAATCCTTAGGAAATGCAAATCAAAACCACAATGAGATATCACCTAACATCCAAGAGGATGGTTAGTCCAAAAAAAATCCCAGAAAAATGACAATGTTGGCAAGGATGTGGAAAAACTAGAATCCTTGTGTAATGTTAGTGAAAATGTAAAATGGTGCCGCTTGTAAACCAAAAATAAAATCCTAAGCCCCCTATCGACTGAATGGAGACTCTCTTGGCCAAGGAAACCCCAGAAAAACCTTAAAAACTGAATTCCCAGCCATGACAGGAAGGGAGGCTGGACACAACCTCATTATACTCCCTCCCATCTGGAATTTAGGTCCAACTGACCTGAGTAAATGTTAAAATAGAGATCATAAGACTGACAAAAGGCTCTTGATGGCAATAAGATAACAAATTCTAAACAATACCTAAGGCCATGCAAGGCAAGCCTTGAGCCATGCCTACAGGCCATCAATCTCACTAAATGGGTCATAATTTTGGCTGACTCTGACATAGCTTCCGAACGTTTTAACTTAAAATATTCCTTTCTGCTGACTCCCAAGTTCTAGACCAAATTTTGTTGCTTTAACTAACTGTAGATTAAAGAATCTCTGAATCTACCTGACTTGTATACTCCTCTACTTCTCCTGGTTTCAAGATATTCCACATTTTCAAGCTGAGCCAACGTATACCTTCCACATGTTGATTTATGTCTTTGCCTGTAACTCTTGCCTCCCTGAAATGTACAAAACCAGACTGTAATTCAACTGCTTCGGGCGCACTTTCTCAGGACCTCTTGAGACTGTTTTGCTGGGCCAGCATCACTCATACTGGCTCAAAATAAACCTCTTTAAAATATTTTACAGTTTAGTCTTTCTGTTAACAAGCTGCTATGAAAAAACAGTACGGCAGTTCCTCACAAAATTAAAAATAGAATTACCATATGATCCAGCAAGTCCACTTCTGGGCACAAATCCAGAAGACTTGAAAAGCAGGGTCTCAAAGAGATCTGTACACCCATGTTCACAGAAGAATTATTCACAACAGCCGAAAGATGGAAGAAACCCAAATGTCCATCAATGGGTAAACAAAATGTGGTATATCCATACAATAAAATATTATTCAGCCTTAAAAAGAAAGAAAATTCTGACACATGGTACAACATGGATGAACCTTAAGGACATTATGCTAAGTGAAATAAGCCAGTCAGAAAAAAATAAACACTTGTAAACCAAAAATAAAATTCTAAGCCACCCAACCTACGGAATGGGCCTGCTGTTGGCCAAGGGGATCCCAAAGGAGTCTAGAAAACTAGTTCAGGCTGTGACAGGAAGGAAGTTTGGGCATGGTCCTTAAATTGCCCCCATCCCTTTGGGGTTTAGGCACAACTGACCAACATTAACATTAAAATAGAGGAAAGACTGATAAAACTGACTCTTCGTAGCAATAAGATACCAAATTCCAACGTGATTATGACATACCATCACGTTGAAGGAAATCAAAGTATTTTACCCCCAAATATAGTTTGTTGATATATTTTGAAATGGCAAAACCTGCAAATGGCAAAACCCGCAAATGGCAAAACCCTGCAAAACCATCTCTTGTTGGGAAATTTGCATTTTGTAGAGAATCTCCTTCCTTTTCTAGGTCTTTTCCTGATTCAGGAGACATTTAACCAAGAGTCTGATACCTTTTAAGGTCTGAAAGGAGACATTTACCATTTATTCACCCTGAAGCCTGCTACTTAAGTAGTTTCATCTGCATAACAAGAACCTTGGGGCCAGGCGCAGTGGCTCCTGCCTGTAATTCTAGCACTATAGGAGGCCGAGGAGGGCGGATCACAAGGTCAGGAGTTGGAGACCAGCCTGGTCAACAGGGTGAAAGCAGAACTGCTTAAACCCGGGAGGCAGAGGTTGCAGTGAGCTGAGATCGCGCCACTACACTCCAGCCTGTGGGACAGGGCAAGACCTCCGTCTTGCGGCGGGGGGTGTTGCAGCGGGGAACAAGAACGTTGGCTTCCACAACCCCCTTACCTTAACTCAAGCAATTGTTTCTCCTGACTTCAAGCCTTTAGGCAAAGCTTAACTCTTTCAACCAACCAAAGATTTTCAACCAATCAGAAAATCTTTGAATCCACCTGTGACATGTGTATGGCCTGGTTTCAAGATGTCCTATCTTTCCACAGGCTTAACCAACATGTGCCTTACGGGTATTGATGTATGTCTTTGTCTGTAACTTCTGTCTCCCTAAAATGTACAAAACCAAGCTGTGACCTGACTACCTAAGGCACATCACATATTCTCAGGACCTCTTGAGACTGTGTCCTAGGCCATGGTTGCTCATATTTGGCTCAGACTAAACCTCTTTAAATATTGTACAGAATTTGGTTTGTCAACATATTGCATAATTCCACTTACATGAGGTTTGTAGAGTCAAACTCACAGAAAAGATAGTAAAATGGTGCTTCTCATGGACTGGGAGGAGGGAGAAACAGGGAGTAGTTGTTTAATAGGTAAAGAGTTTTAGTTTTGCAAGATGAAAAGGTGCTGGAAATTGGTTGTATAATAATGTAATACACTCAGCACTACAAAACAGTACACTTAAAAATGGTTAAGACGATAAATTTTATGTTATATGTGTTTTACCACAATTAAAAGAAGAAAATATATATTTAAATATTTAATGCCTGCATGTAATTACAGATTTCCCCATATCTGGTATCCCTGCCTCTCTGATGAGCTGAGTAATGTTAGGACACAGATTCTTTTTTTTTTTTTAATGAAGTCTATTCCATTTATTTTTTCTTTTTATATATATATATATATATTTTTATTATACTTTAAGTTCTAGGGTACATGTGCACAATGTGCAGGTTTGTTACATATGTATACATGTGCCACGTTGGCGTGCTGCACCCATTACTCATCATTTACATTAGGTATATCTCCTAAATGCTATCCCTCCCCGCTACCCCCACCCTACAACAGGCCCTGGTGTGTGATGTTCCCCTTCCTAGGACACAGATTCTTGTTCATTATCACCTCCACTGTCAACTCCCTCCCAGGCATACGTCTATTACGCGCTGCTGATAATTCATCCTCCACTATAACTGACTCAAACATAAGGTGGCCTAAAGATTTCTGGGAAATAAAAACAAATAGAAAGGGGGCCCATCTGTGTATACTTTCTTAAAGACTTTTAAGCTTTTAAAATTACTGCTTAACAACAATTTAGTTAAAATGTAAAGGTTCATCACTGGCATAACAAATATAAAATCAGAGTGTGACAGGGTTCAGGACATGCTTCCCCAAATATGACTGTAGGAGACTAGAATAAGCCACCACAGATCTGCCTCTTTGGCGTAAGGATAATTTCGAGATGGTTATTTTGAGATACACACAGGGTAAAGACACAGGGTAGGTAGGCCAGGAGTGGTGGCTCATGCCTGTAATCCCAGCACTTTGGGAGGCTGAGGCAGGTGGATCACCTGAGGTCGGGAGTTCAATACCAGCCTGGCCAACATGGCAAAAACCCGTCTCTACTAAAAAAACATACAAAAATTAGCCGGGCGTGGTGGCGGGCACCTGTAATCCCAGCTATTTAGGAGGCTGAGGCAGGAGAATTGCTTGAACCCGGGAGGAGGAGGTTGCAGTGAGCCGAGATGGCGCCACTGCACTCCAGCCTGGGCAACAAGAGTGAAACTCCAATTCAAAAAAAAAAAAAAAAAAAGGAAAAAAAAAGACATAGGGTAAACTCTGAAGAGTTACCCTTTTGTAAGAGAAATTACATCTACAAAGAAAATCTGGCTGGGCATGGTGGCTCATGCCTGTAATCCCAGCATCTTGGGAGGCCGAGGCGGGCAGATCATGAGGTCAGGAGATCGAGACCATCCTGGCTAACATGGTGAAACCCCATCTCTAGTAAAAATACAAAAAATTAGCTGGGCGTGGTGGCAGACACCTGTAGTCCCAGCTACTCGGGAAGCTGAGGCAGGAGAACGGTGTGAACCCGGGAGGCAGAGCTTGCAGTGAGCCAAGAATGCGCTACGGCACTCCAGCCTGGGTGAGAAAGCGTCTCAAAAAAAAAAAAAAGAAAGAAAAAAAGAAAAGAAAATCTACATATGTAAGGGTCTCTCTCTCTCTGCACCAAGAAGAGAAGGATGACTGGACTTCTGGAGACTTAAAAAAAAAAGAAAAGACATTGGCTTAAATCTGCAGAATGAATATCACCCTTCTTTCTCTGTTTCCGTGAAGCATTTAAGCCTGTAGTCTAAGAGAATGTTTTGAGCTACTCTAGAGACTTACTCATTTCTTTGGGTTAACTCCCACGTATGCAGGAGATACACAAGTTATTAAACTTCTGTTTGTTTTTCTCTTGTTAATCTGTCTTTTGCAATGGGGAGTCCTGCTAAGAACTCACTAAGAGTAGAGAAGAAAATTACTCTTCCTCTCCTACAAGTGAATAAGTGAAGATTCAGCATTCACTTCTGCAATTTTCTGATTTCTGCTTCAGACTGATGATAAACACCAGCTTACTCTGCTTATTCACTATGTGCTCATTTGACTGGGAAATAGAATAAAGCATTCTGGTTAAAAGGCAAAAACTGCTTTCTCCCTTATTTCTCCTGGTTTACCCACCACAACCTAAGGTAAAAAAAGATTAAAATAAAATTTGTCAACAATAATTATAATAACCTATTCACTAGTATACTGCTGAAAATGTACTTGTTTCCAGAGAACATCCTTACCTGCACGAGAGTGTCCAGTGTGAAGATGTGCTCCCCACGAACATTGTAGAACTTGACCATGGCACTCTTCAGAAGGGGACCATTGGGAAGCTCACCAAGCTGGGTCTGCCGTTCCATCCCAGCGACTGCCAGCAAGTCCCCCTGTGTGCACCACTGGGCTACCACCTCTGAAACAGAGGAGAGAGGGTCAGCACAAGGACACAGCCCTCCTCAAACTGCCACTCAGCAAGCCTACTGTCTTCAGTAGTTTAAAAAATACAGACACTGAGCAAATACAACAAAAATATATTCATGGTTTTTTCCTTTTTTTTTTTTTTTGAGACGGAGTTTCACTCCTCTTGCCCAGGCTGGAGTGCAATGGCGTGATCTCGGCTCACTGCAACCTCCGCCTCCTGGGTTCAAGCGATTCTCCTGCCTCAGCCTCCCGAGTAGCTGGGACTACGGGCGCGTGCCACCACACCCAGCTAATTTCGTATTTGTAGTAGAGATGGGATTTCTCCATGTTGGTCAGGCTGGTCTCGAACTCCCGACCTCAGGTGATCTGCCCGCCTTGGCCTCCCAAAGTGCTGGGATTACAGGCGTGAGCCACTGCACCCAGCCCATATATTCATGTTTTAGCTCATGAATACAACCAATTTCTCTGAAGATGATGGATTCTATTAAAAACAGGTGTTTGTCACATGACTGGGGATTGTAGTTTACTGAAACACAACCAAATTAGGTAGAAATCATGATCTAATAAAGTTAGCATGTTAAATATGTATCTCCAATTCCAGTATTTCCATGAGACTTGTAGAACTTCCTTTTTTTTTTTTTTAAGAGACAGCAAGACAATAAAACCTATGACTGTATATTCATATAAGTACTGGTCCCACTGCTGTGGCCTCCACTCCCAGGGATGACTCAGAGAGTTTATAAATGCCAAAAGTAAAAAGCACATCGAAAACAAAGTCTTAGTTTATATTCATTTGATTTCTGGGCACTACTGGGCAGATAAGGTTCATACAAAGGACACACATGCATATGAGAATGCTGACTCTTGTCATTTGATGATGTTGTGGGGCTTAGAAAAGAAAATAAATACCCCTGCTGGGAGACAGTTTTTTCAGCATAATTTCCACATTGGAAATTCGATGCCCACCTACAAACTACTCAGTGCCTATAAGAAATGGTTATTAAAAGGTTTATCTTATCCCAATGAGAGCAATTTACTTATTTCTTGCTGGTAAAACAAAAGCCATTAGTATTAATAAGATTTATGACATTTTTTTTTTCTCCTTCAAGACCCTAAAATCGTAATCTGGTTTATACAGAGATCTCTGAAATCTAGAACTAAAGTGGCCCACTTTGCAGAGAAGCTGGGCGGAACTTAAAAGAAAATGCTCTGCCCTGATGGGCACATATTTCAGAGATGGGGCTAGAATTCAGTGGTCCCCGGGCTCTATCAGCACACACATGACAATACCCCTTATTCATGCATGGTCATGATTTTGATGCTGCCACCAGAACATTCTGAGGTTGCTGAAGCTCTTTCACGTCTCTTGAAAACTAGAGTGTGTCTCCTGGGACAAGACAGGTTTCCAGACCCAGGGAACACGGGACTTTCTCATGAAGTTAGCTGCAGGGCAGAAAGTAGGGAGACAAAGGGCTGAGCCAAAGCAGTTACAGATGAATAGAAAATGGAAAAAAACCTGCCACAATCAGGAAATGAAAAATTACATAAAAGAACCAAAAACATCCTGGTGAATCAGATTCTTTTACAAATGCGAGGGGAAGCTAGAGGATTCGTGCACATACTAAATGTGCTCTGGGCATTCAATGCCTGGATCTATCTCAGGGAAAAGCCTGCTTGTGATCAGGAAACTGAGATGACGTTCTCTGGAGAGCAGCTTTGGGCACACAAGGAAACCAAAAGGTGAGGCACTAACATAAACAGTCATAGTAGTAACAAAGATGACGGTGTCTCAAGCTTCTTAGGACAGAAGCATCATTGTAATATTGTAGAAATAAAGATGACGACATGAAATTTCCACAGCTCCTCACCTGAACTGCACCATTCTTGTATTTATTTTTAAAATAATATTTTTTTGAATTGTATTGCAAGGTGGCTTTCCCCAACAGAAAAGTGGGTTGTTGCCCCTGCAGAGCTGACCTATGATGCTTTCGGAAACTGCTCAGGGACTCAGCAAGCAACCTGGGGCACTCCCAGGCTCTGTCTACGAGATGGGCTATCTATCTGAGGCAAGAATGAATCCAAATGTTTACAAGCAAACTCTCAGGGACTTCTTTTTTTTTTTTTGAGACAGAGTTTCACTCTTGTTGCCCAGGCTGGAGTACAATGGCGCGATCTCGGCTCACTGCAACCTCCGCCTCCTGGGTTCAAGCGATTCTCCTGCCTCAGCTTCCTGAGTAGCTGGGATTACAGGCATGCGCCACCATGCCCAGCTAATTTTGTATTTTCAGTAGAGACGGGTTTTCTCCATGTTGGTCAGGCTGGTCTCAACTTCCCGACCTCATGTGATCCACCCGCCTCGGCCTCACAAAGTGCTGAGATTACAGGCGTGAGCCACCGCGCCCGGCCAGGACTTCTTCTAATGCAGGTGCAAAGTTATAATGAGATGACTGTCATCTGCAAAGGCGAATCACTCTTTCAAAAAAGATTAAATTCCATGTAAATAATGCCATTTCTTGTTCCAACGATTATGGAGCTACATGCATCAAGCGATATAGCAACGTATGTGAGTGCCTCTGATGATTTAGCATAAAGCAGTCCTGAGCCACATGACAGGCACAGCCGCGACCAGGGACACAGGCTATCTCATAAAGTACTAGCATGAAGAATTCAGCAGTGGGACTAAGAAAGAATAACCCTGAATTGTTCAGTGTCAGCCAGGAGTATGTGAGTTTTCTGCAGGAGTTGAATTCCTAGGGCAAGAGTTTAAAATTTTCAGAAATTAGTGGGAAAATCAAAGTAAAAGAAAATACTCATTCAATTTCTACATGTCATTATGATAAAGAAGAGAAGGATACAGAAGCCTAGATATAGTCAGGACAGAACTTTTTTGTTTCAGAAACTTTTTGTAAATGATGTCTGTCTTATTTAAAAAATAATCCCCAGTATCTTTGCCCAAGACTTGAGTAATAATTTTGTTTGAATCTCCTATTTTTAAATTTGTTTCAGAATACAACCTAAAAGGAACAAACTAATGCTCTACTCAGTAGGCCTCTTTTCCCTTTTCCTAAAGCTCGTGGCCCAGAGTCTCTAATCTCACCCTCACAGGCAATGGGGAGTTCTAGAGCACACAAGAGGTCCGTACTCTGGAAGCATCTATGTTTCTTCTCAATGATTTTGGGGGGTGTGGGTTTTCGGTCTCTGATATGTTTTACACAAAAAAATTCAGCACACCTACACTATTCTCTTTTAGCCAGAAAATCTTATGGATCCTTTTTGGTAAAAGTCTGGAAGGTTATATGAAGTCAGTGAAAATTTAGTTCTTTTGTATTAACAAGAAGCCCTTTGTGTGGTATTACTGGGTCAAAAAGAGGCAGCTAAATTTTAACAGAAAAAGAAAGGAGTGCTTATCAAGCACCATATATATTGCAGCTACTGTTTGGAGTCTGAAGTTATCCAGTTCTTTGTCCCTTAGATTACCATGTGCATGATTCACCTCTTTATTAGTCATTAGACATGCATGTTGTGTATGTGCATACACACGTGCATGTGGAGCAGTGGGGGGTGGAGGAAAGAGCAACTAATTAATTAGCAAAGTGTGTGATGATAAAATAACAGGTACATTTTTTTTTCCTTTAAGAAGTATGTTTCACTGCAAGGACTGAAAAAAAGGGGCACGTACTCAATGAGGACGACGTGGGCAAATCTTATCAGGTCTGCCCACAGGAGCAGATGGCATCAATGACTGAAACCACCTGCCTCAAAAATTCCCTCCTCATTTTTTCAGTGTGCTTAATGAAATGACAAAAAGAGAAAATTCTGCAAAACAAAAAACACAAACAAAGCTCAGGGGTTGGAGCTTTTAATTTCAAGGCAAGTGTGGGATGAAATGAGTGCCTCTGGGAGTCTGCTTTGCCACTGAGGGATGAACTGGCTTGGGCAGAAAATTCCTGAACTCCTGATTGAATTATTTCTACTCAGGAAAAGAGTAGAAGTCATAACAATGGGTAAAAACCCCAAGCAAAGTGAATCAATTCCCTGCTTATTGCGTGATGAAGAGAAGTCCCTGTTCTGAAGGAAGAGAATCTGAAGAAGGCAGAACTTCCTCAGCAAACCACGGCCAAGCAAAATCAGAGCCTAACCCTCCCCAGAACCCGGCCTTTGAGCCCACAGACACATCTGCAGTGAAAATGAAGTGTGCTGGCTGATGCAGAAGAGGCCTGGGCAGGGACCAAGAGCTATGTGGAATTCTAGGTTCTTTTGCACAGGTCGTAAATTCCAGTGCTGGTGATACACTAAAACAATAGTGCGAGTTACCTTCCTTCGCTGCCAAAGTTCTTTAGTGATGTTCCTCTGAGACAGTAATAGAGAAAAACCAAGTGGATCGGAGACCTTTTTAATTTCCTCTATGAGACAAGTGGCTGACCTGTCTGTAATAGAACAGATGACCCCAGGCTAAAAACATTGCCATGTGCCGTCTCCAACAGTATTCTGGTTGTCTCATCCCAGTATTTACCAACATAGCCCGTAAGATAGTGGATAAAAAAATAAGTTACAAAACAAAAATGATTGCTATTCATACCACATGTAAAGGCTAAGTCCTTAAAACATTCTGATCCCAAGAGAGAAAAGGTAAATTGCCTACATATAGCACTGTCGGGGCACAGAGAACGAGATCCCAAGTATGGTGTTTTGGTACACTGAACATTTTTTTTTTTTTTTTTGAGATGGAGTCTTGCTCTGTCGCCCAGGCTGGAGTGCAGTGGCGTGATCTCAGCTCACTGTAACCTCCACCTCCCAGGTTCAAGCAATTCTCCCACCTCGGCCTCCCACGTAGCTGGGATTACACGCACACGCCACCATGCCTGGCTAATTTTTGTTGTTTTTTAGTAGAGATGAGGTTTCACCATATTGGCCAGGCTAGTCTCGAACTCCTGACCTTGTGATACACCCACCGCAGCCTCCCAAAGTGCTGGGATTACAGGCGTGAGCCATCGTGCCCGGCCTGAGCATTTTGAATTAAAGACAACTGGAAGGCCTTAGAACAGAGGTGTCCAATCTTTTGGCTTCCTTGGGCCACACTGGAAGAAGAAGAATTGTCTTGGGCCACATAAATACATGAATACTAACAAGAGCTGATGAGCTTAAACAAACAAAAAATCTCATAATGTTTTCAGAAAGTTTACAAATTTGTGTTGGGCCACATTCAAAGCTGTCCTGGGCTGCATGTGGCCCACAGGCTGCAAGCTGGACAAGCATGCCTTAGAAGCTGCTTCAGAGCCAGGGACTTTCTGATCTCCTGCTTTCCCCAAATAACCAGGAAAGACTTAACCACCAGAGAAGAGAATAAAAGTTGTCGAAACCTTTGGTCACAGTAAGAGTTCTACCCCTCACCTTCCCATAACTTACAAGTCCTGTTCAGTTCCTAAGAATTATTAACAAGGTAACGTCTACCTCCTGGATCCATTCATTTCCCCTAGAAATCACTTACTACTAATCATGATTGCCTACCCACCTCCCCATTTCCCTCCTTTCCATGGAAAGGGTATAAAAACTTCAACCATGTGGCCTTTCTTTGAGTCTCTTATTTTATGTGGGTCCTATGCTTATTCACATTAATACATTTCTATGCCTTTTCTCCTGTTAATCTGTCTACTGTCAGTCATTTCAGGGAACCTTCAGAGAGGACAGAAGGGAAGCTTTTTCTCTGTCCTTACAGCACCTACTTGATGGCACCAGCTCATTTCGATTTAATCTAACTTTCTGAAACTAGGAAGACACAGAACAAAAGCATCCTGCAAATAATTTTTTTTTTTTTTTTGAGACGGAGTCTTGCTCTGTTACCCAGGCTAGAGTGCAATGGCGCAATCTCAGCTCATTGCAACCTCTGCCTCCCGGGTTCAAGTGATTCTCCTGCCTCAGCCTCCCAAGTAGCTGGGATTACAGGCATGCACCACCACGCCTGGCTAATTTTTGTACTTTCAGTAGAGACAAGGTTTGGCCATGTTGGCCAGGCTGGTCTCGAACTCCTGACCTCAGGTGATTCACCTGCCTCAGCCTCCCAAAGTGCTGGGATTACAGGCGTGAGCCACCGTACCCCGCTGAAAGCATCCTGTAAATAACTGAAAACATTTTTAGGTTAGATTTAGATATCTAGTTAGGTAATAATTAAAATGTTAAATTTGGCCGGGCGCGGTGGCTCACGCCTGTAATCCCAGCACTTTGGGAGGCCGAGGCGGGTGGATCACGAGGTCAGGAGATCGAGACCATCCTGGCTAACAAGGTGAAACCCCGTCTCTACTAAAAATACAAAAAATTAGCCGGGCGCGGTGGCGGGCGCCTGTAGTCCCAGCTACTCGGGAGGCTGAGGCAGGAGAATGGCGTGAACCCAGGAAGCGGAGCTTGCAGTGAGCCGAGATTGCGCCATTGCAGTCCGCAGTCCGGCCTGGGCAACAGAGCGAGACTCCGTCTCAAAAAAAAAAAAAAAAAAAAAAAAAAAAAATGTTAAATTTGCCTGTATTTTTAGAAGAAAACTCAAGGAAAAAAATTTCACATTTGGGAGGGCTACTTTGGGTCACCTCCCCAACTTACCTAACATATCCTTCTACCTATATTGCACATATGGTTGCAAAACGTTAGAAGTGCTGCTCCAGGATGGGTATGGTGGCTCACGCCTGTAATCCCAGCACTTCGGGAGGCCCAGGCGGGTGGATCACCTGAGGTCAGAAGTTCGAGACCAGCCTGACCAATACGATGAAACCCCATCTCTACCAAAAATACCAAAATTAGCCAGGCGTGGTGGCATGCGCCTGTAATCCCAGCTACTAGGGAGGCTGAGACAGGAGAATCACTTGAAACTGGGAGGCAGAAGACTCAGTGAGCCAAGATCGTGCCACCGCACTCCAGCCTGGGCAACAAGAGCAAAACTCCATCTCAAAAAAAAAAAAAAGAGAGAACTGTTGCTCCAATACCTTGGGCATATTCAAGGCATAAAAAATAAAGTTTCCATAAGCAGGGTGGTAAAAAACTGGAAAAATTCCCCCGTAAAGAATAAAAAGGAACTGAGTGGTAATTATATTATGTTCAGCCTTCACCAGATATTTGGTAGAGAAACCAAGTTCTGGATTCCTGAACTAGAGGCAGGTTCTCAAAAAATTAATAAACTTGGTTTAAAGGTTTAAAAATAGAATTTTGAAGAAAAAAGTTAAGCATGGATTATAAATACATTAGGAATTAATGTTGATCATCCTGTGTTTTAGCTCCATGAAAGACAGAACATTCAGAAAAAAATTTACAGACAAGCACAGGAATTTAAGTTCATCATCACCACAAAAAATATGTACTCAACTCCTACCAGGGCCTATGTGTGATAAAAAGGACTTCAACGTCATTCATGTCCCTCAGGACTTTACAGCCTAAGTAATTCCTTATAATTACAGTCCTGAGACAGTAGATTGGGATGCCCAAAAGAGGGTATGTAATATGTTTCTAAAAATATTCTATAGTTTAAAAATAGAGTAATTACTTGGGGGGGGGCGGTGCAGAGGCAGGTATGATTCTTGCCAACCAACAGTTAAGTATATAGACTTGATTCTTTTTTTTTTTGAGACGGAGTCTCCCTCTGTTGCCCAGGCCGGAATGCAGTGGTGCGGTCTTGGCTCACTGCAACCTCCGCCTCCCAGGTTCAAGCGATTCTCCTGCCTCAGCCTCCCAAGTAGCTGGGACTATAGGCACACGCCACCACACCTGGCTTTTTTTTTTTTTTTTCCGAGACAGAGTCCTGCTCTGTCATCCAGGCTAGAGTGCAGTGGCTTGATCTCAGCTCACTGTAACCTCCGCCTCCCAGGTTCAAGCAATTCTCCTGCCTCAGCCTCCCGAGTAGCTGGGATTACAGGCACCTGCTACCACGCCCAGCTAATTTGTGTATTTTTAATACAGACGAGGTTTCACGATGTTGGCCAGGCTGATCTTGAACTCCTGACCTCGTGATCTGCCCGCCTCGGCCTCCCAAAGTGCTGGGATTACAGGCGTGAGCTACCGTGCCCGGCTTTTTTTTTTTTTTTTTTTTTTTTGTGAGACAGAGTCTCGCTCTGTCACCCAGGCTGGAGTGCAGTGGCGTGATCTCGGCTTACTGCAAGCTCTGCCTCTCGGGTTCATGCCATTCTCCTGCCTCAGCCTCCCGAGTAGCTGGGACTACAGGCGCCCGCCACCACGCCCGGCTAATTTTTTGTGTTTAGCTAATTTTTGTATTTTTAGTAGAGATGGGGTTTCACCATGTTTGCCAGGCTGGTCTCGAACTGCTGACCTTGTGATCCACCTGCCTTGGCCTCCCAAAGTGCCGGGATTACAGGCATGAGCCACCGCACCCAGCCTAGACTTGATTCTTTACATCCCTGTGACTGCTGAATAATTCAGGCAAGCAGCAGTAGCGCACGGTAATGACTCCCTAGACCAATGGCCAGTTTTGAATGACAGCAGCGAGTTACACCAAAGTTCCTGGCTTGTCTCCTATATCCTCATTCAGATTACAGGAGGTCCCTTAAACATCAAGGGTCAGAGGCAGCCCAGGTATTGAATTTTAAAACCTTTTTACCTTGTACCATTCAACCCTGAAGAGACAGATTGTTTTTCCATAGAACTCACATCAATGGGGTCAACAACATCAACAGTACTCTTGAACTGCAAAATTCACAACACTCCAAATGCCTATGCCCACTGATTTTCTTTTGAGATAACAACACTCATAATATCTATCAGGAAGGTATCAGCACTTGACTGCTGCCCTTCACAACAATGCCTCAGTCTAGTAATTGCAGAACCTCCACAAGTCTTTCAAGGTAACTTTATCGCACAGTGATGATCAGTTCCTTAATAAGACTGTCAGATTCTTAAAATTACAGGGGCTTCTGTGTAAATGATGTCTTGTGCACCATCTGCTGCCTTAGGGATGGCAGGTGCTGCAGTCCGTTTATTGTGCAGACATGCGTAAGCCAGATGCAAACATACCTGTACACCTGAGAGAGGATCATTCTTGTCATAGTGAGGAAAAGAGCAGGCTAAGACAAAGACTGAATGTCAGGAATCTCCCTTTGAGATAAGACTAGGTATGGACTTATCAGATAAGCAAAGGAGTGAAGAGGGAGTGGCTTTAGTTAACAGACTCCATGAAGCCCAGAAGGTGTCACCACAGAGGACAGGAATCAGTAAGCACAGAGTGTACAAGACCGGCCTTGAGGCAAGCACACACAGGCCCGGTCTGCAGGTTTGGGGTGTGTGCAGCATTCTGTACCTTTCAGCCCTGAGCGGATGACCGTGGGAGACAAGTCATCGTAGTTGTTCATTAAGCTGATGTCTCCCGAGGTGAAGCTGACGGTGAGCAGAGGCTTGATGTTCTGCACTGGGATGGGATATGCTGCCGGACCATCTGCAGGAACACAAGTGCCAAGTGAAAAGGAGGGAAGCACACCACCCAAATCCAGGTTCCCAAAGCTGAAATCTTGCATGGTGCCTTAGAAATTGCCTGACAATGCAGATCCTACTCTGGATTGGGATGCTACCTGAATGAAACATTCTATATCATTCAGGAACTACACAAGGGCCATCAGTGGGCACTAACAGAGAATTTGTGAGTAAGAAGCAGGACACTAGGGACATAGCCCTGGGGGCAATTGGTGAGTGGTGAGAATATGTGTGAAAGTTTACTAACTTGATGTTAATGTGTTACACGGTTCTAATGACATATAGACATAAATTATTTTAATGTCATACAACATCCAAGGATGGTAGGAGGAGGGATAAAAACATTTTCTTAATTCTGGTCTAAGAGAGAAAAAAGTTGCTTTTCAAGTTCCAAATCCTCTTTCTAAATCCTCTTTCATTGAATGTTACAGGAAATAAGCAGCCACAGAGGCCAGCCCAGATTTGGAGAGAAGGTTGGGCTAAATGTGGCTCATAGAGGCTTGCTGCACCTGCGGAGCACAGCCGGCATAAGGAAAACCCTGCTCTGGAGCCTCATGCAGACATTAAGGAAGGGGCCATGATGGACCATGGACTTGGTCTTTCACAGGGTGTTTGAAAAAGCAAAAGTAAGCCCTTCCTAGATGCCTAGATAGAGCAACGTTTTCAGAAGGCTCCTGTAGGCTTCACAGCCACACTGGGCTCATCTTAGCAGCCATCGAGGTGGGCCTACCTGCCAGTTGTCTGCAGAGGAAGCCCAGTTATTGCTTTGCTTTACATCATGACACTGCACTATACCGACCTCCACACTCAAATTCCCTAGGCCACTAAGAAGAACCCTGTTGCACGTGAAAGGTGAACACCTGTCATCCTCTAAACTGCCCCCCCTGCTTCTGAGAAGGGCAACTGCCTGGAGGAGCAACCAGGGACTGAATTCTGTTCTTGGATTTACTCTGGACTTGCTTTATAAACTTGGTCTCTGAGTCCTGTTTTTTTTTCCTTTCTTTTCTTTTCTGTTTTTTCCTTTTTCTTTTTTTGAAACGGAGACTTGCTCTGTTGCCCAGGCTGGAATGCAGTGGCGCGATCTTGGCTCACTGCAGGCTCCGCCTCCCGGGTTCAAGCCATTCTCCTGCCTCAGCCTCCGGAGTAGCTGGGATTACAGGTGCCCACCACCATGCTTGGCTAATTTTTTTTTTCTTTTGTATTTTTAGTAGAGACGGGATTTCAGCGTGTTAGCCAGGATGGTCTCGATCTCCTGACCTCATGATCCACCCGCCTCGGCCTCCCAAAGTGCTAGGATTACAGGCCTGAGCCACCGTGCCCAGTCCCTTGTTTTCTTTTTTTTTTTTCAATAATAAAATGGGGGCAAGTAAATCTAGATTTGACCCACTAAAGAGGAGTTCTAAGAGTATGCTGAGTCCATGTGATGAAGACACTGACTTTACTATTATGAGGCTGTAGAAATATGACCAACACTTCTCTCAAGGCTGGTATCCTATTAGGAAAGGGGATGGTTAATTCCTAAATTGCTTTATGGGTGCTAGGAATACCCATAAAAAGCCCCCAAGCCACTGGTCCTAAAACACTACCATTAATCTCAATTGTTTTTCATGTGTGAATGCCTTCTCCTAAAATGAATAAATGAATGAGTATGTGTGTACACACATACGTGTCTGCTGCTGGGAAGCATAACACACTGTGACAGGAAAGAGAAGACAACACAACACGAGAATATTGCAGGTTCTAACGGAGGCAGACAATTTCTCTAATTTCCCCCGGAACAGCCCTTCACAGGACGACATGCCCCACAATGGCAGGAAAGGTTAGAAAGCACCCACTGTGCCCTTTGACTATGAAGGGCACACAGCAGTGTAAGCACAGCTGTGCTAGGCTAAGGATAGAAGCCTGCGGCAGTGTGACCACTTCTAATCAAGAAGCCAGTCCCATTCCCCAAAACGAGATGGTTACAGCTAGGCAGGAAGGCTAAATTCTAGTGTTCCATACCATGGAGGATGACATGTTAACAATAACATATTATCATATTATATAGTTTCAAATACCTAGAACGAGGATATTGAACGTTCCCAACACAAAGAAATGATAAATGTTTGAGATGATGAATATGTTAACTAAAATGATCTGATCACTATACATTATGTGTATCGAAATATCACAATGTAGCTCATGAATATGTACAATTATTGTATCTCAATTTTTTTAAAAGAGATGGGTGCAGGGGATGGGATGCTGGTGAAGAGCCAACTGAGTGGGCCAGTGCTGCACACTGATTCTGGGGACCTGCTAGAGGTTAAGGTGGCTGGAATTTGAGGTCATCCCCACCAAGAGTACTCAACACCAACTGGAGTATACAGAGAGGCAGTAGGTCTTTTAGACCTGAGGAGGAGGAGAGCTTCTGCCTGAAATAAAGAGGACAGACAGAAATGTAGAGTTATCTGCCCAAGGTGCTGGCCTTCATTATGGCAAAACAAATCCTTTTCTCATGCACCTAAAGCCGCGGGCTTTAATAACATTGGGGATTTGGATATATCACATATTAAGTTATAATAATAGCACAGCATTTTTCATCTTTAGCTTTCTTTATTGTCACTAAGCAGCTAAGCCCCACAATACCTCAGGGACACAGGAAGAGCCATGTGTCTCACTTTATATCTAGGAAAAGCTAAGCGAATTAAGTGTAATCAATTCGACCAGTGATTCTGAGAAAAGGGACAACAGCGGGGAGACAGTCACATCTAGATGAGGCCAGCCCTACCTTGCATTTCAGCTTGATAACTCTTCCCAGGAAGCCCGGGTGCCGTAGGTGTGGCGGCCCTTCACCCTCCCTCCTCCACATCAGTCTACTCTGCTCCGATGCCCTTCCTTGTCCTTCTGGTCAGTGACAAGGAAAGTAGGGCCAATGAGTACCTTGGGGAGGGGCGTAGTCATCTGAGTCCGTGTCGCTCTCGCTGCTGTCCTCCACCAGGAAGATCGGGTAGTTCCAGGACATGCCGAGGACACCGTCTGACTCGTGCAAGAGGACGTGGGCCAGCATTCTGCCGTGGCAATCCATGACAATCACCTGCCCATCGGCCGTGCCAAACAGCACCTGCAATCCAGGATGGGGACCTCTGACCAAGTGGCAGCAAGGGCCAGTTTCTGGCACACCTTGTTGCCTCGATTTGTTTTAGGAAGACAATATACATTTAGAACTAAAAATAGCTAGTTAAGTAACAACAGCACAGTGACACAAAATGTTAAGTAGAACCTCTGCTGGCTATTCCTGCAACAATTTGAGTCCTTTAATACTGAAATGTGACTAACAGCAGAATGAGTATATTATATTGCATGAACGTTTTCAAATAATACCAGCAAAATCTCTGTTATACTATTTGCAGGGGTTTTGCTTTGTATTTTTGATTGGAGGAGAGGAGTTAGGAAAATATTCATTTACTTTTCTGGAAAACGAAGAAGCAGCAGAGATTTGTTGTTATTATTTTCTCAAATTTAGAAGAAAAAGCTTAGGTTTATGTTTGACCAAAGAGAAAATACATTGGGTTATGTAAGCATGTTATATAACCATATTTGGAAAAGAAGATGCTCCTGAAACAATGTTTTATTTCCAATGTTGAATGTTTTACTTCACTGAGAATAATAATAGTATTAATGTATTAATTTATAATTAATTTAAGGATGTAGTCATGGTATTAAAATATTAAGTACTTACTTTGCACTAAACACTATGCTGAAAGCTCTACCTCATTAATTGTCAAAACCATGAGTTAGGCGCTAGTTTTGCTGGTGTGGCCCAGGTGGGCTTTTGCTACCACAGTGTGCTGAGGGCTGCTCCTCAGACACCTTCCTTGGCCTCACCCATCTCAGAGCACATACTCAGGAGCATGCTGGGTAATACAGACAGGTACATGGCCAGAGCTAAAGAACAATCTGGATAGAGGAAGGCTGAATGCGCCCCTCCATGACAGCAGCAAAGGAGCACCTCACAGCTGCTGAACATCCCCCCTGCCGCCACCAACCAACCAACAACACTAGTGGTGCCACCAGTGGGACATCCTGAGAGGAATCTTGGGTCCTGGGCAGCAGGACCTCCACCGAGGTGCATCACATTGCATTATGTTCTGCTTTGTGTGATGGTCTCTGCAGTTTCTGCATTGGTTGCCATTAAAAACTTTACATCTTTTGTGTCTAATGGGATCTGTCTATCCGTCAGCATCTCATTGCAACAATCATGCAAGTTATCTCCAATTTACAAACACACGAGCAACTTAAGAGAGGCCAAGTAAGCTGACAAAGGCATTAAGTGATCAAGCCAAGGCTGTCTGACTAGAAAGGCTAGAATTTACCCAAAGGGAGAGCTGGTTAAGGCTTTTTCAATTTTTGCTTCTTTTTGCTTGAGATTTTAATGTGAAGCTCCTTGGGGGAGAGACAGTCCATAGCTATGTGGCACCTAACAGAGCTTTGTGTACAATGCAGGCACTCAGTAAATATTTATTGCTAAACGAATGCACTAAAGTCAGTGACAAGCAAAAGGCAATTTTAGGATATAAATACTGATGACTAAGAGACTGCCTGCAGAAAGTTCACAGAATTCAGTTATTTTAGAATAAATTGTTCATCAAATATTCCTTTAAATATGATCTATATTTTAATGAATGAATACTAAAAAAGGCTAAAACAATTTGCCTCCAGACGCAGCAATTAATTCATTACTATATGCTGTTTTCAGGAAAGACATAACTACTAGGAACACCATGAAATTCATTTTAGAAAAAGGTGAAATTTTAGCTGTCAAAAAAAAAATTACTATCTGATAGCATGTCTACAAAGCCTTCATGTGACACAGGCGTAGGGTCAAGACACCGGAGCATGGGTCACGGACCTGCTGAAATCCTGGAAGAGGCAGATGTTTAATGTACTTGGTGAGCAATTTTCAATAACAATAAATATGAAACATGACTTCTTATAACTTTAACTAAGCTGTACCCATTGCCACACTTATCACTATTCTCATCCCTTTACTGTGGGATTGTGTGATTTCTGTCTGACCCCTAGTTACACTATAAACTTTTGAGGCGATGGACTATTATGGACTGAATGTTTATGAGCTCCCCGCCTCCCCAATTTATGTTGATGGTATTTGGAGGTAAGGTCTTTGGGGGATGATTCAGTTTAGACAAGGTCGTGAGGGTGGGGCGCCCACGATAGGATTAGCGCCCATATAAGAAGAGTATGAGAGACCCCAGCTTGCAAGCACTCTCGCTACACCCAAGCACTGAGGAAAGGCCATGTGAGGACCCAGGGAGAACGCAAGCCAGGAGTCAGCCTCCACCAGGAACCAAATTGGCTGGCACTTTGATCTGAGGCTGGCCAGCCTCCAGAATTGTGAGAACTCAATGTCTGTTGTTTAAGCCCCTTGGTCTGTGGTATTTTATTATAGCAGCCCAAGCTGAGACCTGAACCACATCAGCTTTGCTCAACAGTACCTCCCTAGGCCCTGTCATGATGTACAACACACAGGAGTATTTGCAAAAGGGAGGAAATGACTCTGCATTGAAAGGTCTTTTGAATTAATACTCATTTTTCCATTTTAGAGAAGAAAGGACAGATGAAAGAACATACATATAATTCCTGAATAAGGACTGATTAAGTTATCAGAGTTTAGTATCACACTAAAGAAAAACAGAACAAAAAGGGCAGGCCCCAAATCCACTACCATTAATGAATTACAACTACAGTTCCCATAGGAAGACAAAAACACTATTAAGATTGGAAAAAATGGGAAACGCAGCACTGACAGTTTAATTATCAAGCAATGATGGAAGAAGTTACTCTGTTTTGGAACAAGTATGTCACAGATTACTGAAGAACAGTGATACAACATAAAATCAGATTTTTAAAAATCTCTTCCATTACAAGTTCTTTTCATGCCTAATCACTTTTAATGGGATAAAGCTTATGTGAGCAAAGGACTTCAGAAGAACAAGATTGAGAGCCTAATAATAACGAATACACATATGGCAAGTGCATCAATCTCTGCTGCTTCTGCTCCCTAATGTTGGTCAAGTAATGAATGTGTTCTAAGTGGGCTGGTGCTCCTGTTTGTAGAATTCTCCGTGCTAGTGCTCCCCAGGCTTGGCTCTAGGCCCTCTTCTCTCTAGGAAACCACAATCATGCCTGTAGCCTCAAGGATCCCATTCATAGCTGACTCCCTGCCCAGGCCTCTGTCCTGAGCCCCAGACTCTCACATCCAACTGCATTCCTGCCATCTCCCCAAGATGTGCAAAAGGCCCTCAGTGTCAACATGTCTAAGATGAAACGCATGACTGCATCCTTTCCTGAGCAACACACACACAACCAGACCCCATCAAGCAAGGACTGAGGCTTGTGCTTTATCTCCAATGTCTAGTACATCAGCTGGTTCATGGCAGGTGCTCAGACATCATGTGTGAAGGCTTCTGGGCCCCACCACACAGAATTAATCTTGCTCTAACCACGGCCCCCACAGCATTCTGAACTTGGTTCTGGTTTTGCGTGCCTGTCTCCCAGTAAACCAAAAGCATCTCAAGGGCAGGTCTGCACTCCCAGGTTCTCATTCACTCAGTGACTCAATGAATATAAATACATTTCTGTCCAAATCTTTGCCCAAGTTTTCCTACAAATGAAGGAGCAATCTCCTTCCATTCTTCTTTATAAACCAATTCTCAAATCCTCCCATAAAACTACCCCCCAAAAACACTTTCAAGGATGAATCATGTACATTTCTGTCCCATATTTTCCTGCTGTTTCCTGTGACGAACTGTAGGCTTCAGGTATGGGCAGGGCCAATGCTCCCTCTGTAATGCATATACCAGGACCAAATAAGCAGTAGACACATACAGGTCAAGTCATACTAATTCAATGGCTGCCTCGCTGGGTTTGGTTTACTTTGCAGCCTTGTATATACTCACTGCAGGGCAGTTTCTAATAGCAACACGGCCAGGCACCACGGCTCACACCTGTAATCCCAGCACTTTGAGAACCTGAGATGGGAGGATCACTTGAAGCCAGGAGTTTGAAACCAGCCTGGTCAACAAGGTGAGACCCTGTCCTCTAAAAAAAACAAAAAGATGTATCAGGCCATGGTGGTGAGCACCTGTAGTCCTAGCTCCTGGGGAGGCTGAGGCGGGAGGATCACTGGAGCCCAGGAGTTGGAGGCTGCAGTGAGCCATGATTGCTCCAATGCACTCCACCCTGGGTGACTGAGCGAGACTCTGACACACACACATACACACAAAGCAATGCAATAATGATATCCACATATAATCTCTTTATTTCAATGTACTCCATTCTAAACTATTTTTAGGTGCAATTATTTAAAAATAAACACAATTATTATCAATAGTTTAAAATAAACCAAGCCACAACCAAAGGAGGAGAAGACAGGATATAAAATCATTCAAAAGATTTCTATTTTGGAAGCCACAGTATCTCATCAGTACCTTTGTCTTTGGACCCTACACATCTAAATTGTTGAATAAAACCATGTTGGGAAATGTCAACTTCAATAATACATGCTTCCAAAAATGTTCACTCTTTTGTAAGAGTTTAATTTGTAGTATTGGAACTAGTTCCTGAAGGAGGTGACTTTTTCCCACTTATTTGCTTTTATGACTGAAGGCTGGGGGAATACATTAAAAAACTGATTGCAAATCCCTCCTAGTAACCTTAGCACCTCTGGTGGCACGCATGTGTAGCTGCAGATAGAGAAATGAAAAAATAGCCATGATGCCCCTCCTTTTCTTTGGAAGGAACTCTTTTTGTTCTGAGATGCGGCAAAAGTTAAAAAAAAAAAAAAAAAAAATTTTTTTTTTTTTTTTTTTTTTTTTTTGAGACAGAGTCTTGCTCTGTCGCCCAGGCTGGAGTACAGTGGTGCAATCTTGGCTCACTGCAACCTCTGCCTCCCAGGTTCATGCCATTCTCCTGCCTCAGCCTCCCGAGTAGCTGGGACTACAGGCTTGCGCCACCACGCCAGGCTAATTTTTTGTATTTTTTAGTAGAGACGGGGTTTCACCGTGTTAGCCAGGATGGTCTCAATCTCCTGACCTTGTGATCCGCCCACCCTGGCCCCCCAAAGTGCTGGGATTACAGGCGTGAGCCACCGCACCCGGCCAAAAAATTTTTTAAGACCTCCCTGTTGGGTTTCAGAATACTGGCCTTCAGATGTGCTTCAAGGCCAGACTTGAATATTTTGCAACTAAATAAACAGTCACTGAAATCAGACAGTTGTAAATGACAGAACTGCTCAATTGATTAACAGAATATTTCCTGTTTTTTTTTTTAAAAGATGAAATGTAATTTCACAGTTGACTATAACAATCACTCCTAAATCTGTATCTTCAGGCTAAACATGTAATTTGGAAGCCATCTCATCTCTTCACTGAAGAAAAGACCACTTGTAAACTAACCTATTAAGATGAGAGACTCTCCTATGTCTAAAGATTTTCGGAGAAGAAGATATTCTGCCTCAGGCCTCAAATTTAATGTTAAATGATTCCTATTACCAGAATATTCTTCTCCAAATCTTTCAGGCTCCATTTTTAAGTTTATTCACCCTTCTAAGACATACCCATATATCAATTTCTAGGAGTAGAGAATAGTCTGACTACAGAACCAATATAAAAATGCATTTACGGCCAGGCATGGTAGCTCATGCCTGTAATCCCAGGACTTTGGGAGGCCAAGACGGGCAGATCATTTGAGGTCAGGAGTTCAAAACCAGCCCGGTCAACATGGTGAAACCCCATCTCTACTAAAAATGCAAAAATTGGCTGGGTGCGGTGGCTCACGTCTATAATCCCAGCACTTTGGGAGGCCGAGGCGGGCAGATCACAAGGTCAGGAGATCGAGACCATCCTGACCAACACGGTGAAAACCAGTCTCTACTAAAAATACAAAAGTTAGCTGGGCTTGGTGGTGCACGCCTGTAGTCCCAGCTATTTGGGAGGCTGAGGCAGAAGAATCGCTTGAACCCAGGAGGCGGAGGTTGCAGTGAGCCAAGATTGCGCCACTGCATTCCAGTCTGGTGACAGAGTGAGACTCCATCTCAAAAAACAAACAAACAAACAAGCCGAGGATGGTGGTGGATGCCTGTAATCCCAACTACTTGGTTGGGAGGCTGAGGCAGAAGAATTGCTTGAGCCCAGGAGGTGGAGGTTGCAGTGAGCAGAGATAGCGCCATTGCACTCTAGGAGCCTGGGGGACAAGAGCAAAACTCCATTAAAAAAAAAAAAAACCAACCATTTAATTGGAGTATCTCCAGAACGGTACACAAGTAACTGAAAACACATTACCTCTGGTCAGCTTGGGGATAGAAGGAGGGGCCTCTTCATCAAATGTCCTGTGGAACATTTAGTATTTTATACCATGTGAATATACCATTAAAAATACATTTAAATATACATTGAATGAGGAAGAAAGGCACACTTCAGGAATATAGCCCTATATCGGCTCTTTGAAGTAAGGCATAACTGCCCAGGGTGGCCACTCACCAAGAGGCCTGGGAAGGTGCATGTGTACTTTGATCAGAAGACCGCGAGTGATGCTGGAATCTGCTTGGCCTGTTGGTGTGTAGTCAGAGCCTGTTGGGGGAACATCCTATCCTCTGCAAAGAATCGGGCCTGGGGGTCAGCTAGTGGGGCTCATCCTACTTTGAGTCCTAGTGCCATAGTAAGGTTCATCATTCTGCCTCCCAAGTGTCAGCCTGAAATCCTTTCCCATTTCAAAATTTTACAACTCTTCAAAACACACTGAAATATATTTCTAAACATGATGAAAATAGTAATTTCTTCCCATGGCTACTGATAAACTTCTCAACAAATGAGCTGAGAGGAAAGGATTTGCTGATCTGTGCTACCAGTGGCAGCTGGGGAATAGTGGTGCAAGCAGACCCAACAGCACTTGTGACCGGTGCCAAAGACAAGCCAAGCTGGACCTGAGTTAATACAGGAAGGACAAAATTTAATCCATAATAACTGCTGCAGTAGGGAGAATGAGGGAGGAGGAGGGAGGCATAGGCAGTATTCAGGGAAGCAGAAATAACTGAAAAGCAGGAAGGGGGCTGTCAACGCGATTAGGCTCTCTGGCTTTACTAACTGGAGCTTAACAAAATTAGGCCCCTACTCTCTCACAAAGCCTGGGAGATGGGCCCTATCAAACAGTTGATTCTCTTGGCAGGCTCTCAGGCAGGAACGTAAGAGAGCTGGAGCAGTCATCCTCGGGACACAGCCTTGAGTTGTTAGAAACGGTGCCAGTGTTTGCTCCAGGGTGTGTGTGTGGGAAGGGAAGATGGTGTGGATGAAATAATTTATGTCCGAGAGTCTGCAGTATTTAGAGGCCAAGATTGAGGTCCAGCTGAGAAGAGGGCCCAGAGAGGCCTGACCAGAAGGAGCGAGCCTTTGTCCTGGTGGTGAACACATGTGAAACAATACATCTCACCCCTCCTAACACATATAAGGACATATTCAATGCCAAGGTCAGGGGCTGTAGAGCAGCAGTGCCATGTGGAACCCCAGGAAGATCAATTTTGTAGTTCACCATCTGGCTAAACGCTGGCATTTAGGCAAGATCCCTGTGTCAAAACCAAGGCCATCATCATGCTGTGGTATTGATAAAGATATATGAAGAAAATCTAACGTTGCATTAACAAAAAACTGACTTTAAGAAGGTATATGTGACAAGAGCCAGTGTATATTAATAAATTCCTCTCATCTTTTATTCTTAACCTAATATTTTTTTTAGATAGAGTTTCACTCTTGTCACCTGGGCTGGAGTGCAGTGGTGTGATCTCGGCTCACTGTAACCTCTGCCTTCGGGTTCAAGCAATTCTCCTACCTCAGCCTCCCGACTAGCTGGGATTACAGCCGTGCACCATCGTGCCTGGGTAATTTTGTATTTTAATAGATACGGGGTTTCACCACGTTGGCTGGGCTGGTCTTGAACTCCTGACCTCAGGTGATCCACCCCCTCAGCCTCCCAAAGTGCTGAGATTACAGGCATGAGCCACTGCGCCTTGCTTATTCAAGGCAAATCTCAAGAAAGATTTTTATTTAGCGTATTTTATAATTCATCAATACTGAGTGCTCTATTTGGTGATTCATCGCCTGAGTCCAGAGATAACAAAGGGCGATTTAATTTCTAGACATCTTAACTGTCATGTCAATCAACCAAAACACTGACAAAATGAAAAAGTACAAACATAGTAGCTGCACCTGTTTCTGCTAAAGAAACATATTTTATTCCACAAAGTGCTCAACAGAATTTCTCAAATACACGCAAAAAGAAATAACTAAAAACGAACCAGTACCAATCATTGGATAAAGATAGCCCTGAAGGGTGGGAGGCTGTCTCCCAACTTCTTTCCTGAGCAATTCATTCTCCTAACTGTGATTCCTGTGCTCCTTGCTGATTTTGACAAGAACCATTCCTATATATGTTTAGTTCAGGGCTTAAAATAAAGATGGGCCTCCCTTGTGTGGTATTCACACTACTAAAAAGTCATGGGCAGATCTGATGGGAAAGAAGAAAAAGGATCACTCTTTGCGTTGGCTTAGACTAAATCTCATTGCAAAGTTGAGTCCTCAGGAGCTATGAGCAGCAGCTCCACTCTTACCAGCCCTTTAACCTACTTACAGCACACTCACCAGTCACCAGTAAGGGTTTCCAGTGTAGAAGCTGACCATTGAGATTTTACTTTAGTAGGTTTGTGGATTTTTTTTTTTTTTTTTTTTTTTTGAGACAGGGACTCACTCTGTCATCCAGGCTGGAGTGCAGTGACACAATCATGGCTCACTGTGGTCTCAACCTCCTGGGCTCAAGCAGTCCTCCCACCTCAGCCTCCCCAGTAGCTGAGACTATATGTGTGCCCCCACACCCGGATAATTTTTGTATTTTTTGTAGAGACAGGGTTTTGTCATGTTGCTGGTCTTGAACTCCTGGACTCCAGTGATCCTCCCGCCTCGGTCTCCCAAAGTGCTGGAATTAGAGGTGTGAGCCACCGCGCCAGGTCAGATTTATTTTTTTTTAAAAAAGAAACACTCTAGGCCGGACACGGTGGCTCACGCCTGTAATCCCAGCACTTTGGGAGGCTGAGGCGGGCAGATCACGAGGTCAGGAGATCGAGACCATCCTGGCTAACACAGTGAAACCCCGCCTCTACAAAAAATACAAAAAATTAGCCGGGCATGGTGGCGGGCGCCTGTAGTCCCAGCTACTCGGGAGGCTGAGGCAGGAGAATGGCATGAACCCAGGAGGCGGAGCTTGCAGTGAGCCGAGATCGCACCACTGCACTCCAGCCTGGGCAACAGAGCAAGACTCCGTCTCAAAAAAAAAAAAAAAAAAAAAAAAAAAAAGAAACTCTAGTACAAGAGCTTACATGAGAGAGATTACCATGTTCTTTTCTTGTATTGAGCACAGTGACTTTTAAGTCTTTGCAGGGAAACTAAAATCTATGCAGTGCCTATAATCACAATCTTAAAAGACCAGGTGCATCAGGATTCAAAACCAGCAGGCTCCTGGAAGGAGGTGAGAGCTGCTCTTTGAGGAAGTGAGAGCTGCTCTGGGTGGGTGGAGGGAGAGAGTTGCTCTGGGAGGAGGTGAGAACTGCTTAGGGAGGAAGAGAAAGCTGCTCTGTGCCCTGTGTAGGAGTGAGAGCTGCTCTGGGAGGGCAGTTGTTGAGGCTGAATTCTGCTTACAGCCAGCCTTAAAGGGACAGCAGAGGAAAATGTTTTCTTAGGGCAAATAGAAAGCTCCTTGCAAATAATGAATTGTGACTTTTTGCTTTTGGGAAGTTTGACTTTTTTCTATCAAAGAACAGACCTCTTCTATGTGTTAGTTGATATTTATACACCAAATATCGGTAAATTATTATTATTTTTTTTTTGAGACGGAGTCTTGCTCTGTCACCCAGGCTGGAATGCAGTGGCGCGATCTTGGCTCACTGCAACTTCCGCCTCCTGGGTTCAAGCGATTCTCTTGCCTCAGCCTCCTGAGTAGCTGGGACTACAGGCACATGCCACCACACCCTGCTAATTTTTTGTATCTTTAGTAGAGACAGAGTTTCACCGTGTTAGCCAAGATGGTCTCGATCTCCTGACCTTGTGATTCCCCCGCCTCGGCCTCCCAAAGTGCTGGGATTACAGGCATGAGCCACTGTGCCCAACCTGTAAATTACTTTTCATTATAAATCTGTGGGCCAGGTGCAGTTTTGGGAGGCCTAGGTGGGCAGATCACCTGAAGTCAGGAGTTCAAGACCAGCCTGGCCAATATGGTGAAACCCTGTCTCTACTAAAAATACAAAAATTAGCCAGGTATGGTGGTGCGTGCCTGTAATCCCAGCTACTCAGGAGGCTGAGGTAGGAGAATCACTTGAACCCAGGAGATGGAGGTTGCAGTGAGCTGAGATCACGCCACTGCACTCTAGCCTGGGCAACAGAGCGAGACTCTGTCTCAAACAAACAAACAAACAAACAAACAAACAAACAAACTGTGGTGTTTTTAGCTGAGAAAGCAAAGCGTTATACTACTGTTTTAAAGTTCCCTTTATACATCCTTTCCTTTCTGACTATGCCGACAAAGGAAGCCCTCAGCAGGAACACGTGCCTCTCCGGTGCTGCAGGTGCGCTCCTCCAGAGCCATGAGCAGAGCTAGCCCCAAACTACATGCTTCAATCCAACAAGAACCTCCCTCCAAGTAAGGAACAGATGAGGTGTGATAATGGCACTGTGGTTATGGAAGGAAATGCCACGTTTTGAGGAGATTTACACTAAAGTATGTACTGGTGAAATGATATGCTATCTGGGATTCACTTTAAATACAACAAAGAAGAAGAAAAAGAAAGGATAAAAAAGCAAATGTAAAATATGTGGATTCCTTATTTTTCATGTTACTGAAAATTTTCATAATCAAATTTAAAAATTATATAATTAATAATCCCTACAGAGTCATTTACTTTTTATGATTTTTACAGATGGGGTTTCACTATGTTGCCCAGGCTGAAGTGTGGTGGCTATTCACAGGTGCAATCCCACTCCTGATCAGCACGGGAGTTTTAACCTGTTTTAATGGGAGTTTCTGACTTGAGCCGGTTCACCCCTCATTAGACAATCTGGTGGTCCCCTGCACCCAGGAAGTAAACTGTATTGTAGACACCTGAATGACATAGCAAACCACAGCCCACAACTCCTGGGCTCAAGGGATCCTCCCACCTTAGCCTCCTGAGTAGCTGGAACTACAGGCACATGCCACCATACCCAGCCAGAATCATTTATTACTTGGATACTCTGGGGAGTTACGAAATCTCCTTGAGTTCTAAATTGTACTTCAGTCATGACTTTATCTTTTAAAAGTGAATGAATTATTCTTTTCAACTGACCAATGTTTTAACGTTTACCTGCATATGAGTATCTGTAACAGTTCATTTTTCATCCCTTAATATCTCTGAAAAGACATCTGCATACTAATTATTTTTTTAAATATTATTTTTATTTTATTTGAGACCGGATCTTGCTCTGTTCCCCAGGCTGGAGTGCAGTGAGCTATCACAGCTCACTGCAGCCTCGACCTCCCAGGCTCAAGCAATCCTCCCACCTCAGCCTCCTGAGTAGCTGGGACCACTGGAATGTGCCACTGCACCTGGCTGGTTTTTAATTTTTTGTAGAGATGGGGTCTTGCTACATTACCCTGGTTGGTCTTGAACTCTTGGCCTCAAGCAATTCTCCTGCTCTGGCCTCCCAAAGTGCTAAGATTACAGGCATGATTTTAAGCCTGACCTAAAATTTATTTTTAAACCATTTGAAATAAATGAATTAAAAATTCTGTACTAAAATATTCTTTTAAATAATCCTGTTACACTAACTACTCAAGTCCTGATTCCACTCTGCTCCAAATAGCAAATAAAGGTCATATTTCTTGCAAAACATGTATATGAAAAAGCCTTCATCTCACAGATGTCCCAGAGGTGCACAGGCATTCAGTGACTGTTACTGCTTCTCTCCCCAAATGATCTGACAGTGCTTAGCTGCTGTGAAGACACAGTGGCCTCAGGGACATGACCACACCAGCACACAACAGACTACACAGGGTGCAAAACCTCCTTAGCAGATGAGAAGGGACTTGGGACCTACCTTTTGTATCCCAAAGCAAACAGGATAAACCTACCCACTTTCTAGGTTTAAAAAACACAAAACTAAATGCAACCAGCACTGAGGCTAGAGAATAAAATGCCACCTACTAGTACTGCATGTGCCAAGACCTGAAAAGCTAAAAGCTTTACCATGGTGACTATTTAATACTTACCAGCCCGGATTCTTTCTACTTTATTTGAAATCGTGCTTTAAGAGCGTCTAAGAAAATACCAGATTTAAGACTCCCTCCTTTTAAAAAGGTTTAGTATTTATAAAGAAATATTACCTCTACTCCCGGAAAACTAAAATCTGGATATTGCTAGCAAAAACATGTATGAGGTGAAGAATTCTCATTTCAAAAACAACTGCCTTCTAAACAAGGGCAATTTCTATAGAATATTCTTTAAATAGGGAGATTCCTGTAGGTGGGTAGTTAAAATATAATCATGTTTTCAAAAACTCACTTTACCTACATTCTTTCATCCACTATATAAAGTGAAGTATACCTGTACCTGTATTTCAGGAGAACCATTAACCTCCCTTCAAGTGATACATTCTGGTCAAGTTACATGAAACCTTAAATACTTTCAGTTAAGCTGGTTTGAGCACAATCATCTATAAACTTTAAGTATAAATAAATAGTCTCAGATAGAAACATAGGAAGTGGAATCAACAGGACCTGGTGACTAAGTGAAGGTTGGAGGTACAGAAAAGAGAGTCCAGGCTGGGCATGGTGGCTCACACCTGTAGTCCCAGCACTTTAGGAGGCTGAGGCAGGCAGATCACTTGAGGTTAGCGGTTCAAGACCAGCCTAGCCAACCCCGTCTTTACTAAAAATACGAAAATTAGCCAGGCATGGTGGCGCATGCCTGTGTGGTCCCAGCTACTTGGGAGGGTGAGGCACAAGAATCGCTTGAACCCGGGAGGCGGAGGTTGCAGTGAGCCGAGATCGTGCCACTGGGCGACAGAGCGAGACTCCACCTCAAAATAAAAAAAAAAAAAGAGTCCCAGTTTAGGGGATAAAGGATTCCCAGTTGAGGGCACAAACGATGAGCAATTCCCAGTTTAGGGCATAAATGATAAGCAAGATAAGAGTGCAGATGAGGGACCGGAGGGAGGAGAGGCAGGGGGGAGAGGAAGCTAAGTTCAGACCACAGTGGACTTGAGCAACGTCTACGTCTATCCGGAGTTGCTCTGCAAGCATGGTGGTGGTGGTGACGGTGATGGTGTCGCAGTGTGAAGGACAAGAGCGATGAGCGCGGGATAGGTGTGGGGAGCCAGCAGCAAACAGATGGGAGCTGATGCAGCTGTGGCAATGGAGGAAATCACCCAAAGGATGGAAAAAAGGGGAGAGGTCTGAGGTTGGAACCTAGGAAGGGGGACCGAGTTGGATGGAAAGGCATGCCATGTAAGAGCCGGGGAGGGAGATGACAGCGATGGGAGGAGGAGGCAAGATCCAGCTGGGAGAGGCACTGCAGAAAGGACGTGCCTGGATGTGCTGACAGGGTCCAGAAGACGCCAACCAAGGTAGCCGAGCAGAGGATGGAAGCACCAGGCTGCCAAGGAGACCGCATCTGAGGCCAAGAGCCCAGAGAGAAGCATGCTCTGTGGCTCCTGGGGCAAGAAACAGGAACCACTGACTGGGGAGGGAAGCTGCAAATGCCTGGAAGACATACACAAGATACTCATCTTTGCTTGACCCAGGACAGGGGGCTACCCTGACTGTGGGGGGAAATGGGTGTCACTAACTTCCATAAGCTTTAACGCCTTGAAATTGTCTTAAGATGATTTAAAAAATGGTTCATGCACCCATATTATGTATGTGCCTCACTGCAGGAGCTCTCTGGAGATGGGGTATCAGAGATGACACAGGGACAAAGCCGCAGCCTGGGAAGAGTTCTGGGCAGAGCCCGTTGTCTCCCACAGCAGAGAAACGTGTGGGGGCTGCTTCTTGGAGCTCCCCCAGACTGGCAGGAACAAGGAGAGAGTCTTCTTCCCATGCCATTTCATGTATGTGGTAACTTTCATTCAGAAGTTACCACAAAATTCTTCCACATTTAAACTGGAGTCTCAAATTGAAGTTTGGGGCTCTTCTTTTGACCTTTCCTCAGTGGCCTCAGGCACATCAGCTGGTCACCGCCCTAGGAGGACCACACTCAGCATGGAAATGCTGGGTGGCATATCAGCATGTCAACCTTTTTCATGGAAACACAGCTCAGGTTCTCATTGCATTCTCTAGTTGAAAGGCTTTCCAAGTGAATTGACAGTTAGCTAAGATCCAAAACATGCTGGAAGAATATTTCAAAATGTCAACGTCTCAAATAATTTTCACATATCAAGGGGCAAGGTATTCTCCTAAACCCAAGGAGAACACAGACAATGAAACATTCGCTCTGGCAGACCCTGCTGTGATGCTGGATGTTTCCAGAACTGCAAAAGCTTCACTGTTGCAGCATTACTCTGCGTCAACTTAGGACCCAGATATTTTTCCCAGTCATACTTATATTTATTTGACATTTTCTCTTTGTGTCATTCTGGTTTGCTCCCAAGCCCTATAAAACCTGTTCTATTTACAAATATATCCTAAGTTTATCAAGCTGAGTTTATATCACTATTTCTTCTGTAACTTTTATATTCTCCAAAATATTTTCTATCAGTCTATTATGGACTGAATTGTGTGCCCCAAAACTCATATGTTGAATTTTGTTGAACAAATGTGTTGAACCCCAAATGTGACTATTTTTGGAGATGGGGCCTGTAAAGAGGTAACTACAGTTAAATGAGGTAATATGGGTGGGAACCTAATCCAACAGGACTGGTGTCCTTACAGGAAGAGGAAGAGACACCAGAAATGTGGGTGCACAGAGAAAAGTCCACGTGAGAACACAATAAGAAGGCAGGTGTCTGTAAGCCAAGGAGACAGGCCTCAGGAGAAATGAGACCTGCCAACACCTTGATCTTGGACTTCTAGCCTCCAGAAGAACTGTGAGAAATACACTTCTGTTGTTGAAACCGCCCAGTCTGTGATATTCTGTCATGGCAGCCCAAGCAAACTAATACAGAGTCCTCACCCACTAAATAAATTCCAGGTAGGATTACATTCCCTTCTTGCAATTTAATGGAAGATGAATTTTAGCCTGAAGTAAAACACATCCTTTGAACAAATCAGCTGTTTAAGTGTAGATGACATTAACAACATGCTGTGAAAAATAACTTTTTTTTGAGACAGAGTTTCCCTCTTGTTACCAGGCTGGAGTGCAATGGCGCCATCTCGGTTCACTGCAATGCCTCCTGGGTTCAAGTAATTCTCCTGCCTCAGCCTCCGGAGTAGCTGGGACTACAGGCACGTGCCACCACGCCTGGCTAATTTTTTGTATTTTTAGTAGACGGGTTTCACCGTGTTAGCCAGGATGGTCTCGATCTCCTGACCTCGTGATCTACCTGCCTCGGCCTCCCAAAGTGTTGGGATTACAGGCGTGAGCCACTGCGCCTAGCAACTTTTGTTTTTACAAAGGTTCCATTAAACTCAGCAACCCTCAGACTAGGATGAGACATTATACACTTTTTAGTGTGGTTCAGAGTAAAGAATATGTTACCTTTAAAGTATTCTTGCCAAAATTGTTTACTCCAACTCTAGTCTAGACTTAACTTCCAGTTTATAGGAAATACAAGGGCCGGAAGGAAAATGATACTATAAGTAAACACAATCAGACAAATCTAGAGTGTGGGGACAGCGTGTAAGGTGGCCACACTGACCTCATGAAAAAGTCAATTTAAAAAACGGGAAACTGTTCTAGACTAAAAGACTGTAGAGACAGAACAACCAACTGCTGTACATGAATTAAACTGGATCCTGGTTCCAAAAAACCAAAAAAGACTATGAAATACATTCCTGTAACAATTAGGGAAATAAAAAGGTAGCCTAGATACCAGATAATGTCATTGCTAATTTCTTAGGGGTGCCTGTGCAGGTGAAAGGCTTTATTCTCAGGAAACACATGTTGAAATATATAAGGGTGATGTGCCACGATGTCTACCACTTACTTTCAAAAACAAGAACTACAAAAAAGTGGGGAGTGGTGAGGAAAAAGTGCAAATATGGCAAAATGTTTCAGGAAGGTTTATTTTCTCAACTTTTCTGTACATTTGAACATATTCATAATAGAAAGTTGGCAAAACAGCGCACAATACAGGCACATGCCACTATGCCCAGCTAATTTTTCTATTTTTAGTACAGACGGGGTTTCACCATGTTGGCCAGGATGGTCTCAATCTCCTGACCTCATGATCCACCCGCCTTGGCCTCCCAAAGTGCTGGGATTACAGGCGTGAGCCACCGTGCCCAGCCATGCACTGCTTATATTTTTTAAAGTTGACAGGAAGTAGCCTAAAATCCCACTATAATCCAATATAGCTCAAGATGTGAGGAAGAGGTTTACTCCTGGAAGCTATTTTAACTCACATTAAAGGCAGAAAGTTCTCAGGGAAGCAGGAAGAGACTCATCCGGCTTCCTGCAGCTCTACCTTCATGTCCACCGTTCAGAGCCCCTGAGCTGCAGGGGTGCGCTTTCCACATCCAACTCCTGACATTACAGACATCAGGCTGGCCCACAACCTGTCTATGGACTCTTTTTTCATTGATAAAATCAAACCAAGCAAGAGATGTGAATGAGTGGTAGAGACAGGAGGAGGAGTATTCCTGCTCTATGTCTCAGTTCAAACAAGACTGAGTGCCTGATACACATGTTCTCTGTGGTAAATTTTTCCCAGGGTCCTTATTGCTTCAGTGACCTGCAAATCCTTTTTTTTTTTTTTTTAATTTTTTTTTTTTTCAGAGATGGGGTCCTGCTATGTTGCCTAGGCTGGTCTCGAGAACTCCTGGGCTCAAGTGAGCCTCCCACCTCAGCCTCCTGACTAGCTGAGACAACAGGCACCCTGCTGCAACCATTTTATTTAAAGGCAGTGGGGGCGCTTTCCTAGAACAAAATCCCACCTGTTAGTAAAAGCAGTCATCAGGACAGAGGCTGCGGCCACGTACCCAATTGCTTGCCACATCAGCTCTTTCCTCACGCCAAGGTCTACAGACTCAAGGCCAGGCACGTCAGCATGGCCTCCATGCTTCCCATGGCCATTGTCCTACCGACTCCTCCAGCCCCAGGAGTCCCCCTTCACGTTCCACGGCAGCAGGAAACCACTCCCTGTGGTACGTGCACACCATGGTGTCAATACCCTGGAACTCTGCTTGGGCTGCCTGGAACAACGTACCCCAGATTCGACTTGGGAGTCACAGCCAGCCCTTCCTGGGAAGTCCTCCTCCACACGTTGCCAAGCCACGGCAGCAGATTCTGTGTAAGGAGAGGTCTGTCTCCTCAACAGGTCCAATTGTACCTCAAAGGCAAGAGCTGCGTCTCTCTCACTGCTGTATCCCCAGTGGGTCCCCTGCCTGTCCTACATGTGCACAGTCTGCTGGGGACACTGGCTGGCACAACTCATCAGAGGACCATGAGATGAGCCTCACAGATGGCTCATGGGTTCCATCACTCTAGGCGAGGGAAGAATGTGAAGCCAAGACATCCACTCCTGGATTTTTAAGGGCTTTCACATCTGTTCCTTCATTTGATCATTAAAAAGCCCTGGGGATTAGGCAGGAAATAATACACAGTCCTTGTCACACAGGAGAAACTGATACAGGAAAGATCAGGTGCCTCGGGCAAGGTCACTTAATGCAACGCACTTCTGAGACTCGGGGGTAGTAAAAACCCATAAAAATGCAGCTTTATAATAAAGGAATCTAAGCATTTCATATAAATACACACAAATACTAGGGGATAATTGGAAGCCTCTGGGGAAAGCAAGGGAAGAAACATGGAGCTGAAAATACCTTTTCATAAATCTCATAATACCAATTTTGAGAAGAGAAAAAATATTTGTCTTTTTACTTGAAAAATGGAAACATTAAATATATAGTGACTAGAGGAAAGCAATTCAGTTAAAAAAAAGTGGCTCAAAAATGAAAGTTACGGTTCCATATTATACTGCTTGGTTTTTTACCAATAATAAACTTAAATCTCTGGGATAAAACATTCTGGCATTATATGTATTCTGCTATACATGGAAAACACAAGTTTTATAAAGATTTTAACTAGTCAATCCTTATACTTTAAAAATTTTCATTTCATTTTTGAGATGGAGTATCGCTCTGTCACCCAGGCTGGAGCGCAGTGGCACAATCCTGGCTCACTGCAACCTCCACCTCCCAGTTCAAGCAATTCTCCTGTCTCAGCCTCCAAGCAGCTGGCATTACAGGCGCCCGCCATCATGCCTGGCTAATTTTTGTATTTTTTTTTTAGTAGAGACAGGGTTTCACCATATTGGTCAGGCTGGTCTCGAAATCCTGACCTTAGGTGATCCACCCGCCTCCACCTCCCAAAGTGTTGGGATTACAGGCGTGAGCCACCGTGCCTGGCCTCCAAAATGAATTATCAATATAGAATTTTATTGTTATTATATGTTATTTTCTCATGAAAGTCAAATAGGCACATTAAAGAACATTTTGAAATTCAATTTTTAAAAAACGAACCAGAGGCTCATTACTATAAAATTGCTTATAATTTTTTGATTCACTTCCCTCCAGCTTTTTACCATGTGGATGGGCTTCTTTGTTGTCTTACGATGTAGCAATATACCAAACATCCCATTTCCTATCCTGATTTTTTTTAAGCTTAGTATCAACTTACTTGATATCTAATATCAACTGCATATTTATGCAGATTTTATTAATAAAATTGTATGAACATTTTATATAATTAAAATGTTAACTTAATGTTACCATATTGGTGGGAAATGTTGTTTTTCCAATTTATGGTTCATTTAGAATTTTTATTTTAATTTTTACCTGGACAGTTTTATTGTTCTTTTCCATTGTGATTCTTAAAGAGGCTTTTGCACCAGCTCCCCTCTCCTGCCCCTTTCTTCCCTCCCAGCCCTCATGGTTTTAACGTCACACACCCACCACATTTCAGAAGTGTTACCTGTTGGTCGTCAGGAGTCCATATGCCACACGTAATTTGACTTTCCAAGTTGATTTCGGATGACCAGTGTCTTTGTCCACTGACAGACCCAACCAGGACAAACCCATCTCGATAGGAAATAAGTGCTTGAGTTCCATCATGGCTCCACGTGAAATCACTCACCTTGGGGACACACACAGAAAAGAGTCAATTTGTAATCTGAAAAGGAAAACATTTTATCAAAGTCTAGACATAGTCATTAACTTAGACTTTTGGCTAAGATGGAGATGGCCTTAAAATATAACATATGTTATTTGAAAGCTATAAAAACGTTACTGAGGCCAGCCACAGTGCCTCATGCCTGTAAACCCAGAATGCTGGGAAGCCAAAGTGAGAGGATCACTTGAAGCCAGGAGTTCGAGCCCAGCCTAGACAAAATAACGAGATACTACCTCTACAAAAATTTTAAGAATTAGTCGGGGCCGGGTAAAGTGGCTCATGCCTGTAATCCCAGCACTTCGGGAGGCCGAGGCAGGCAGATTACTTGAGGTCAGGAGTTTGAGACCAGCCTGGTTAACATGGTGAAACCCCATCTCTACTAAAAATACAAAAATGAGGCAAGCGTGCTGGCACGTGCCCGTAGTCCTAGCCACTTGGGAGGCAGAGGTGAGAGAATCACTTGAACCTGGGAAGAAGAGGTTGCAGTGAGCCAAGATAGCGCCACTGCACTCCAGCCTGGGCAACAGAGTGAGACTCTGTCTCAAAATAATTAGTCGGGAGCAGTGGCAGACACCTGTGGTCTTAGCTACTCAGGAGGCTGAGGTGGGAGGATTCCTTGAGCCTAGGAGGTTGAGGCCTTAGTGAGCGATCATGGTGCCTCTGTACTCCAGCCTGGGTGACAGAACAAGGTATTGTCTCTAAAGAAATTTTTTTAAGAAAAATGATTGAAACTGACTTCAGTGCATACTGTGCATCACCAGTGTTCTGTATGTTTCATGTACATTAATTCATTAAGCCTCAAGTCAACAGTCTGCGGAAGGTATTACTGTTCTCATCTACAGAGAAGACTCAGTCAACATAGCAGGCAAGAGACAGAAACAGGAAAAATCCCAGGAATATCTGGCTACAGGGTCTTTCCTTTCAACCACTGTTACACTGCCTCTCACTTATGGTTAGTAATAGATTCTCCATCAGAGTCTGTTGGTCCCTTACCAAAACAGTAAAGCTCTAAGTTTCTGATTATATTGCCCCTCAGTCTTGCTAACAATACCCCCTCAATCAGAATGAAGAAAAAAAAAAATCTAACTGAAAAACATTACTTATACTTGAGTGTTAAGTTTATCAAATGCTATTGCATCTATTCAAATGACCACATTTTTCCCTCTATTAATCTATTGTGGTAAGTTATTTGTATGGATTTTTACATATCATACTATTCTTGCATACCTACCAGAGTCCAATTTAGAGGTATTGTCTTTTATATGCACAGTTGAAGCTGATTTGCTAGTGTCTTTAGATTTTCTGCATCTGCATTCATGAATGTAGTAGACCCGTGATTTTGTTTTGGTAATGTGCGTCTCTGGATTTAGCAGGGTTACGTTACCCTCTCAAGATGAGCTGAAGTAGTCCCTCTTTCTTCAATGCCCAGAAGAATTTGTATAAACAGATGATTTGTTGCTTGAAAGTTTGGTAGACAAGCCTGCCAAATCATCTGACTATGTATTTTTGTAATGGGAAGATTATTAACCACTTATTCAATTTAATAGTCCTAGTACTAAACTTTCACGTTTTCTTTTGAGACAGAGTCTTGCTCTGTTGCCCAGGCTGGAATGCAGTGGCATGATCTTGGCTCAGTGCAACCTCCACCTCCCGGGTCCAAGCGATTCTCTTGCCTCAGTCTCCTGAGTAGCTGGGATTACAGGCACGCACCACCACCACACCCAGCTAATTTTTGTATTTTTAGTAGAGATGGGGTTTTGCCATGTTGGCCAGGCTGGTCTCCAACTCCTGACCTCAAGTGATCTGTCTGCCTTGGTCTCCCGAAGTGTTGGAATTACAGGCATGAGCCACTGTGCCCAGTCTAAACTTTCAACCTTTTTACTTCTTGAGTCAGTTCTGGTAATTTTAGGGCTGGGTGTGGTGGCTCACGCCTGTAATCCCAGCACTTTGGGAGGCTGAGGCAGGCAGATCACGAGGTCAAGAGATCGAGACCATCTGGCCAACATGGTGAAACCCTGTTTCTACTAAAAATACAAAAATTAGCTGGGCATGGTGGCACGCGCCTGTAGTCCCAGCTACTCAGGAAACTGAGGCAGGAGAATCGCTTGAACCTGGGAGGTGGAGGTTGCAGTGAGACGAGATCATGCCACTGCACTCCAGCCTGGCGACAGAGCGAGACTCCGTCTCAAAAAAAAAAAAAAAAAAAAAAAAAAAAAAAAAAAAAAAAAGGTCTGATAATTTTGAAAAGGAATTTGTCCATTTCATGTAAGTTTTCAAAACTGCTGGCAAGTAGTTGTTAATATTTTCCTTTTAAAAATCAACTTTATTAAGGTATAATTTACATGCAGTAAAGTCCCTCCTCGCCCCAGAAGTCAATCCCCAACCCTAGTCCTAGGCAAACAGTGATCTGCTTTCTGTCACTGGTTGTTCATTCTAGAATTTTGCACGAATGGTACCATATAGTATGTTCAACTTCTCTGTCTGACTACTTTTACTCAGTATAAAGATGTTGAGTGTCATCTGAATTCCGTGTGTCAGTAGTTCATTCCTTTTTATACATATTATTCCGTTGTATGAATATACCATAATTTGTCTATCCAAATTGCTATTCAGCAAAGTCTCAGGATACGAAATCAACATACAAAAATCACTAGCATTCCTACACACAAACAACAGCCAAACCAAGAGCCAAATCAGGAACAAACTCTCATTCACAACTGAAACAAAAAGAATAAAATGCCTAGGAATACAGATAACCAGTGAGGTGAAGGATCTCTACAAAGAGAACTACAAAACACTGCTCAAAGAAATCAGAGATGACACAAACAAATGGAAACATACTACATGCTCACGGATAGGAAGAATCAATATCACTAAAAGGGCCATACTACCCAAAACAGTTTACAGATGTAATGCTATTCCTATCAAACTACCAATGACATTCTTCATAGAACCAGAAAAAAACTATTTTTAAATTCATATGGAACCAAAAAAGAGCCCAAAGATCCAAGGCAATCCTAAGCAAAAAGAACAAAGCTGGAGGCATCATGCTACCTGACTTCAAACTATACTACAGGGCTACAGTAACCAAAACAGCATGGTACTGGTACAAAAACGACACACAGACCAATGGAACAGAACAGAGAACCCAGAAATAAGGCTGCATATTTACAACCATCTGATCTTTGACAAAGCTGACAAAAACAAACAACGGGGAAAGGACTCCCTATTCAATAAATGGTGCTGGGATAACTGGGTAGCCATATGCAGAATGTTGAAACTGGACCCCTTTCTTATACAATATACAAAAATCAACTCAAGATTAAAGACTTAAATGTAAAAACCCAAACAATAAAAACCTCTGAAGACAATCTAGGCAATACCATTCTGGACATAGGAACGGGCAAAGATTTCATGATGAAGATACCAAAAGCAATAGCAACAAAAGCAAAAATTGATAAACAAGATCTAGTTGAACTAAAGAGCTTCAGAACAGCAAAAGAAACTATCAATAAAGTAAATAGACAATCTACAGAATGGGAGAAAAATTTTACAAAGTACGCATCTGACAAAGGTCTAATATACAGCATCTATAAGGATACTTAAACGAATTTACAAGAAAACAACCCCATTAAAAAGTGGACAAAAAATAAGAACTGACACTTTTCAAAAGAAGTCATACATGCAGCCAACAAGCATATTTAAAAAGGCTCAACTTCACTGATTAGAGAAATGCAAATCAAAAACACAATGAGACACCATCTCACATCAGTTGGAATGGCTACGATTAAAAAGTCAAAAAACAGGGCAGGGCGAGGTGGCTCACGCCTATAATCCCAACACTTTGGGAGGCCAAAATGGGTGGACACCTGGAGCTCAAGAGTTCGAGACCAGAGATGGGTTTCCCATCTCTACTAAAAATACAAAAACTAGCCTGGGGTTGTGTCAGGTGCCTGTAATCCTAGCTACTCAGAAGGCTAAAATAGGAGAATCGCTTGAACCTGGGAGGTGGAGGTTGCAGAGAGCCAAGATCGTGCACTCCAGCCTGGGCAACAGAGTGGGACTCCGTCTCAAAAAAACAAAACAAAACAAACAAAAAAAAACCTAAAACAGAAACAAAAAAACTAAGTGGTTACGTCATTTTACACTTGCGTCGGCTGCCATTTTTTTTTTTTTTTTTTTTTTTGAGACGGAGTTTTGCTCTTCTTTTCCAGGCTGGAGTGCAATGGCACGATCACAGCTCACCACAACCTCCACCTCTCAGGTTCAAGTGATTCTCCGGCTGCAGCCTCCCGAGTAGCTGGGATTACAGGCGCCTGCTACCATACCTGGCTAATTTTGTATTTTTAGTCGAGACGAGGTTTCACCACGTTGGTCAGGCTGATCTCGAACTCCCGACCTCAGGTGATCGGCCCTCCTCGGCTTCCCAAAGTGCTGGGATTACATGTGTGAGCCACCGCACCCAGCCTGTTGTCAGTCATTTTAATTTTAACTATTCTAGTAGGTGTATGACATTGTCTTTTTTTTTTTTTTTTTTTTTTTTTTTGAGATGGTGTCTCACTCTGCCACCCAGGCTGGAGTCCAGTGGCACGATCTCAGCTCACTGCAAGCTCCGCCTACCGAGTTCAAACAATTCTCCTGCCTCAGCCTCCCGAGTAGCTGCGAATACAGGCGCCCACCACCACGCCCGGCTAATTTTTTTGTATTTTTAGTAGAGACGGGGTTTCACCATGTTAGCCAGGATGGTCTCGATCTCCTGACCTTGTGATCCGCCCACCTCGGCCTCCCAAAGTGCTGGGATTACCGGTACGAGCCACCGTGCCCAGCCGACATTGTCTAACTTGCATTTCCATAATGACTAATATGTTGGGCATCATTTCATGTGTTGATTGATCATCTACACATCTTTTGGGGTATATCTGTTCAAATCTCTTTCCATATACAGTTTGTCATCTGTATCCATGGATTCTGTATCCATGAATTCAACCAACTTTGAATAAAAATTGGAAAAAAATTACATTTGTATTGAACATGTACGCTTTTTTCTCCCCTTGTCATTACCCCTAAATAATACAACAACTATTTATTTAGCATTTACATTGTATTAGGTATTATAAGTAATCTAGAAATGATTTGAAGTATACAAGATGGGCTGAGCGCAGTGGCTCACACCTGTAATCCCAGCACTTTGGGAGGCCAAGGCAGGCAGATCACTTGAGGTCAGGAGTTCAAGACCAGCCTGTCCAACATGGTGAAACCCTGTTTCTACTCAAAATGCAAAAATTAGCCAGGTGTGGTAGTGCGCATCTGTAGTCCCAGCTACTCAGGAGGCTGAGTCGGGAGAATCACTTGAATCTGGGAGGCGGAGGTTGCAGTGAGCCGATATCAAGCTACTGCACTCCAGCACAGAGCGAGACTCCATCTCAAAATAAGTAAATAAGTAAGTATACAAGATGATGTGCATAGATTATATACAAATATACCGTTTTACATCATATACGTGTGCTTCCATGAATTTCAGTATCTGTGGAAAGTCCTGGAACCAATCCGCTATGGATACCAAGGGATGACTGTATGAACACGGGCAAATATATTTTAAAAATATATAGTAAATATCAGTTTTCACCTTCTTACTGTCATAAAATTTCTCTATAAATTCTAGATATAATCCTTTATCAGATATGTGTACTTCAAATATTTTCTCCAGTCTTTGGCTTGCCTTTTCATTTTTTTAATGGTATCTTCCAAAGAGAAGAAGTTGGCCAGGCGCGGTGGCTCACACCTGTAATCCCAGCACTTTGGGAGGCTGAGGTGGGCGGATCACGAGGTCAGGAGATCGAGACCATCCTGGCTAACACGGTGAAACCCCGTCTCTACTAAAAATACAAAAAATTAGCCGGGTGTGGTGGCAGGCACCTGTAGTCCCAGCTACTTGGGAGGCTGAGGCAGGAGAATGGCATGAACCCAGTAGGCAGAGCTTGCAGTGAGTCAAGATTGCGCCACTGCACTCCAGCCTGCGTGGCAGGGTGAGACTCCATCTCAAAACAACAACAACAACAACAACAAAAAACAAAAACAAATAACAACAAACAAGTTTAAATTAAGAAAAAATTTAATTTATAATTGGCCCATAATAACTGTATATATGTATAGAGTACAATGTGATGTTTCAATGCATGAATACATAGTATAATGATCAAATCAGAGTTAATGCCATATCATGTTAAACATTTATCATTTCTTTGTGGTGACAATACTTAACATTTTCTCTTCTAGCAATCTTGAAATATGCTCTACATTGTTATTTGCTATACTTACTCTACTGTGTAACAGAACACCAAAACTTATTTTCCTGTCTAACTGTAACTTCGTATCATTAAATTTCGATGAAGTCTAATATCAAGTTTTTTCTTTTATGGATCACGTTTTCTGCATCCAGTCTAAGAAATCTTTATTTAGCCCCAGGCTGCAAAGACTTCTAGAGGTTTAGCTTTTACACTTACGTTGCAGGAGTTATTATTGTAGGCAGATAGAGAGGAAAAGGGGTCCTGGGAAGGTTTCTTTCCCCCCCCCCCCCTCTTTTTTGTGGAGGAAGGGGTCTTGCTGTATTGCCCAGGCAGGTCTCCACTTCCTGGGCTCAAGCTATCCTCCGGCCTCTGCCTCCCTGAGAGCTTGGATTACAGGCGTGAGCCTGTAAGTTTCTTAGAGCCAGGCTAGCAACCTTTGATATGCAAATGCAGACCATTAGAAACTGGGTCCATCCAACATGGCGATTCGGGCGCCTTCCGGCCCTTGTCCCAGGTGTTCCTGGCAACATGGCCGCCCCCACATATCCCCACGTGTGTGGAACATCCTTGGCGTCCTGCATTTGCATATTTAAAGGCTGGGGTGGGAGGGCCAGCGTTTTCCGCAGGCTACATGGTGAATCACATGCCTGGTCAAACCAATCCCCTGAGCCCTATGCAAATCTGACATCGCCTCCTTCAGCCTCTGCATATAGACCTGGCTGGTATCCACCGCACTTGGGGACCTCCTCTTTCGGCTTTGGAGCCTCCTCTCCCTCTATCTCTGTATGGGGGAGCCTCTTCCTTCTGCCTTCCGCTTCCTTCTTGTCTATTAAACTCTCCGCTCCTTAAAACCGCTCCACATGTGTCCGTGTTTTGTCTAAACTGGCCTGAGAATTAAGAACCCTGGTGTTCCTCCACTCACTGGAGCCGTATCACTTATCTCTGATTCATCTAGAGTTAATTTTTATGCACGGTGTGAGGTAAGAATCAAGGTTTTCTTTTTAAAAAATACAGATATTCAGTTGTTTCAGCACCATTTGTTGAAAAGATTTACCTTTCCCCCATTGAACTACCTGCATCTTATAATTTACGTTTGGTTACCTTGTAATCTCTATTTATAGCTATGCCCAATTTTTCATTCATAAAATTGTTTATTTCTGTGTTCTTCTCTTGATCAGTTTTGCAAGACATCTGTCTATTTTGTTGATTTGTTTCCAAAGAACTAATTTTTGGATTTGTTGATCTCTACCTTATCATTTTTCCCTATTGTACTAATTTTCACTTTCATTTTTATTATTTCTTACTTTTTCTTTCATTGGATTTACTCTCCTTTTCAATTAATAATATTTTAAGATAAATACCTATCTGACCAATGATCACAGTTTTATTGCTAATATAAGTAATTAAGGATATACATTTCTCTCACAGCACCACTTTAATCATATCTCACAAATTCCGGTATACAATGAAGGACTAAATTCTTATTCTTTTACCTTGCCCAAATTCCTATCTAAGGGGTCTGGGGAGTCATGCCCTACAAATCATAAACTCTCATCACATAGGTTGGGTTTTATTTAACACTATATATCATGATTTACTTTCCAACCTCACTCTGGCGTAACATTACAAGACAAGAAAATAAAAATATTTTACCCCAAAACGTGCTTCTTTGCCATATTTTGAAATGGCCCTACAAAGCTGTTCTTTGTGGGGAAAAATTTGCATCTGTAAAGAATCTCTATTAACATCGCTAGATCTTTTGATTCCAGACCCTCCCAATTCTAAAGAGACTACCTAAAATCTGAATAGGAAACATTTGTCATCCTACTGTCTCTAAGGACAGCCACTATAAGACTGCAAAAGAACTTTGGGCTGCACAAAATTTTATTTTAACCTGAACATTATCTTTCTATCAATCCCGGGTCTTCAGACAAACTCAACCAATTGTCAACTAGAAAATATTTAAATTCACCATAGCCTGGAACCTCCCGGACCCCTTTGAGTTGTTCTGCCTTTCTGGACCAAACCAATGTATTTCTTTTTTTTTTTTTGAGACGGAGCCCCGCTCTGTGGCCCAGGCTGGAGTGCAGTGGCGCGATCTCGGCTCACTGCAAGCTCCGCCTCCCGGGTTCACGCCATTCTCCTGCCTCAGCCTCCCGAGTAGCTGGGACTACAGGCGCGTGCCACCACGCCTGGCTAATTTTTTTGTATTTTTAGTAGACACAGGGTTTCACCGTGTTAGCCAGGATGGTCTTGATCTCTTGACCTCGTGATCCGCCCACCTCAGCCTCCCAAAGTGCTGGGATTACAGGCGTGAGCCACCGCGCCCGGCCACCAATGCATTTCTTAAATGTATTTGATTAATGTCTCACGCCTCTCCAAAGTGTATAAAAACCAAACTGCGGCCCGACCACTTTGGGCACATGTTCTCAGGACTTCCTGAGGGCTGTGTCATGGGCCATGGTCACTCATGTTTGGCTCAGAATAAATCTCTTCAAATATTTTACAGAGTTCGACGCTTTGTTGACATGTTTTCATTATAATTTAGATCTAGGATTTTATAAATGTCTATTAAACATATTCTGTAAACCATGAGCTATTTAACAATATATTTTAAAATGCCTAAATAGGCCGGGCGAGGTGGCTCACGCCTGTAGTCCCAGCACTTTGGGAGGATGTGGAAGGTGGATCACCTGAGGTCAGGAGTTTGAGACCCACCTGGCCAACATGGTGAAACCTCGTCTCTACTAAAAAAAAACAAAAATTAGCCAGGTGTAGTGGCGGGTGCCTGTAATCCCAGCTACTCTGGAGGCTGAGACAGGAGAATCGCTTGAACCCGGGAGGCAAGGATTGCAGTGAGCCGAGATGGCGCCATTGCACTCCAGCCTAGGCAACAAGAATGAAACTCGGTCAGAAAACAAAACAAAACAAAAAACAGACAGGGATCTCTTATCTCGTCGTTATTAACTTCTAACCCAGTTGCACTGTGTTCAGAGATCGTGGTCTATAATCATCATGCCTGACACTGGAAATCTGTTTTTTATTTAAGTCGTAGAACAGGGATTGGCAAGCTATGGCCTGTGAGCCAAATCTGACCTGTCACCTATTTTTGTATGGCCCACAAACTGAGAATGGTTTTAAGTGGTTGAGAAGAAAAAAATCAAAAGAAGAATGATATTTTGTTATTTGAAATTACATAAAATTCAAATTTCAGTGTTCATAAATCAAATTTTAAATTTTGTCAATAAAAATCTTTTGGAAATCTGATTTTCCTCTTGTTATATGATACCTATATAATATCCTCAATTTTGGCTCCTTGTCCACAAAACCTAAAATATTTACTATCTGACCCTTCACAGAAAAGGTTTGCAGAATCCTGCCCTAGAATATGATCAATTTTTATAACCCTTCTGTGTTTGAGAAAAAAGTATGTTGTCTAATTGGTGAATTAAGAACCTATAAATGTCCTTTAGGTCAAGCTTGTTAATTGTGTTGCTCAGATCATCTACATCTTTGCTGACTGTCGTTAAAATGTCTGAGTATGTCAATGGATTTATCAATTTTTCCTTTCAGTTCTATTAGTTTCCTTCACTTATTGTGATGCTATTAATAAGTGTATACATATTTAAAATATGCTCTTGGTAAACTACAGCTTACCAAATAATCCTTTCTGTCTTCTACGAACCAAATAATACTTTGTCTTCAAATCTACTTTATCTGATACTAACATACAGCTACATCAGCTTTATTTTTTTTCTTGGTATTTGCAAGATACATCTTTCTCATCCTTTAAATGTGTTTATGTCCTTAAGTTTGAGGTGTGGCTCTAAACAAGATATACTGTTATCTAGATTTTTACAAATGTAATCTGCTAAGCTGTATCTTTTGATTGGTAAATTTAATCCATTTACATTTATTCTAATTAGCATTATATTTGTTCCTGTTTTCTACCACCTTGGTTTACTTTTTCAATTTGTCCTACATTGTGTTTCTTTTTAATCTTATCTAACAAAACAAATGCTATCTATAATCTTCAATGTTGCTTATAGCTACAAACATTTAGCTTTTTAAAAAATCTATGGTATTAATGGATATATTACATTTCAGGTAATGAGAAAATAAATGAACAAACACCAAAAGAACATGAACTTCTTGCTGTTTTTCAAGTAGGGGTTATGGGTTTATGTTGTGTTATCAGCAATGTCTCTATCATGACAATGGCATGGTTTGTGAGATAGCTCTTGAATAGCTGGTCTGAGATTACTGAAAAAAGTTGTTTCCTCAGATAAACTCAGAACCTTGGCTTTACTGACTTTATGTTCCAACCAATTATACTGTCTGGTTTTTCTCATTAACATAAAACAATGTTTTTCAGAAACAACGCATTACATTCTGGAATAAAAATAAAAAGCTCTTTCATTTTGCAAAGATAATGCTATTTACTTACATGCATTTTAACTATGTATTTTAAAAAAGATTTGTACTAAAAGAGAAAACTATTTTGGGAAATCTCCTTAATCCATAGCCAAAACACATAGCCAGTAAAATGAAGCTTCTTAGAGATACCAGCAATTTTACATCACACAAAAAAACTGGTAATAGAGGATGTTCACATGGACTAATTGGGTTTCTGTTTATTTGTCTAGAGACTTGGTCTTGCTTTGTTGCCCAGGCTGGAGTGCAGTGGCACAGTCATAGTTCACTGCAGCCTCAAATGGATTGCTCAAGCAATCCTCCCATTGCCGCCTTCCGAGTAGCTGGGACTACAGGGTTGTGAAACCATACCAAGCTAATTTTAAAACTATTTTTGTTGAGATGAGGTCTTGCTATATTGTCCAGGCTGATCTTGAACTCTGGTCACAAGAGATCCTCTTGACTCAGTCTCCCAACTAGCCACTTGGCTCAATTTGGGTTTATTAGGTCAACATAATGTGATAAGACTATATCACAACTGGAAAAACAAAACCAGAGAAAACCAAGTATCGAATTGCTTAAAAAAAAAAAAAAAAAAAAGTGGTGGCTCATGCCTGCAATTCCAGCACTTTGGGAGGCCAAGACGGGTGGATCACCTGAGCCCAGGAGTTCAAGAACAGCCTGGGCAACATGGTGAAACCCTGTCTCTACTAAAAGTATAAAAAAATAGCCGGGTGTGGTGATGCATGCCTGTAATCCCAGCTACTTAGGAGGCTGGGGCAAAAGAATTGCTTCAACCCGGGAGGTGGAGGTTGCAGTGAGCCGAAGATGCGCCACTGCACTCCAGCCTGGGTGACAGAGAGACCCTGTCTCCCCCGCTCCCAAAAAAAAAAAAAAAAACACACACACACAAAAAGGCAGAAACTCCAGTTCTTTTAGTTTTTCAACTGCAGAAGGTTGCAATGCTCTTGCTTTACTAAAGAGTTCTCAGGCATGGATTAATTGAAGCTGAGCAGCAGGCTGACCATGCCATTGACCCAGGCAGCTTTTCATCAGACTGTCTCAGAGTGTGTGTGCCTGGTACAGCCGCCCCTGGTGACTAATACTGTAAAATAATGCATGTACTGTTCCAAACTCATTTTTGAAATAAAGGACTCTTAATCATTTCCTGAAAAAGAAATTGTTAAAGCATCTCTTAGCTTTTGCCAAATGTTTGATTACTTTGTGACAATGAAAAGCATGCTATATAATGAAAATAATCTGTCATTTCTTCTAAAAAGTAGTCTTTTTCTCTGAGCTGGTTTCAAGGACACTCCTCTTCTAAGCCACAGAACTTTTCCAGGTGCAGAAAGCCACCAGTTCCTTGACCAGTGATCCATCGTCACCAGTGTGTGGTGTCCTTTTTAGTCGGGTAAGATCTGACTCCAACACGATTAAAGGCAACCAAGCCTCCCCCAGAATGCCACTGTTTAATGATGACAGTTGCTCAGTGGGTTCTAAGATTTGAAAAATCTGAGTTCCAAATGGCAAAAGTAAACAAAACTCTAAAATGAGATCACAACATACAGTAATTACTTTAGTCAAACCTGGTAGGCAGGCATTTATGAGATTCTGGGTGCTTCCAGATGTTCTGTGGCCCAGGGAAGCTCATTTGCCTCCAGGGCTGAACTCATTCTCCCTTTCTTGTTTCTAATATCTGCTCCAAACCCTCAATGGAAAGAAACACAAGGGAAGTGTTGGATGGTGGTGACTGCACAGCTGCTATGGAGATGATAGAGGGCCCCTGCTCACAGAGGCTACTGCTAGGAGAATCCATGTGCTGGTGGCACTGCTTGGCTGGTAGGGTGGGCCTTTTAATGGTAATGAAGCCTGAGCTCCTTGGGGTATACAGTCATGTCGATTAACAATGGGGATACATTCTAACAAGTATGTCATTAGGCAATTCCCTTGTTGTGTGATCATCACAGGGTGCACTTACTCAAACTTGGACAGTAGAGCCTGCTCCACACCTAGGCTGTATGGGACAGCCTACTACTCCTAGGCTACAGACCTGTACACATGTGATTGTGTTGAACACTGTAGGCAACTGTAATACAATGGCAAGTATTCATGTATCTAAAGCTATCTAAACATAGACAACATACAGTAAGAATACAGTATAAAAGATAAAAAGTGGTTCATCTATAAAAGGGCACTTACCATGAATGGAGCTTGCAGGACTAGAAGTTGCTCTGGGTGAGCCAGAGAGTGAGTGGAGAGTGACTGAAGGCCTAGGACATTACCTTGTAGCTACTGTAGACTTTATCAACACTGGATGCTTAGGCTGCACTCATTTCATTAAAAAAATGGTTCTTTCCTCAATAATGAATTAACCTTAGCTTATTGTAACTGTTTTACTTTTTAAACTTTTCAGTTTTTCAAGAAGTTTGATACTTTTTTTGATCCTTTTGTAATAACACTTAAAACACAAACATATAGCTGTACCAAATTATGTTTTTCTTTATATCCTTATGCTGTAAGCTTTTTCTATTAATTTTTTTTTTCTTTTTAAATGTTTTTGTTAAAAACTAAGACACATATTAGCCTAGGCCTACACCCGGTCAGGATCATTCATATCACTGTCTTCTGCCTCCACACCTTGTCCCACTGGAAGGTCTTCAGGGGTGTGATCGTTAATACTGAGTGTCAAACTTGACTGGACTGAAGAATGCAGAGTATTGTTCCTGGTGTGTCTGTGAGGGTGTTGCCAAAGGAGATTAACATTTGAGTCAGTGGACTGGGAGAGGCAGACCCCCCCTCAATCTGGGTGGGCACCATCTAATCAGCTGCCAGCGCAGCTAGAATAAAGCAGGAAGGAGAAGATGGAAGAATGACTTGCAGAGTCTTCCAGCCTTCATCTCTCTCCCGTGCTGGATGCCTCCTGCCCTCAACATCAGACTCCAAGTTCCTCAGCTTTTAGACTCTTGGACTTACACCAGTGGTTTGCCAGGGGCTCTTGGACCTTCGGCCACAGACTCAAGGCTGCACTGTCAACTTCCCAACTTTTGTGGTTTTGGGACTCAGACGGATCCACCACTGGCTTCCTTGCCCCTCAACTTGCAGACGGCCTATCATGGGATTTTACCTCGTGATCGTGTGAGTCAGTTCTCCTTCAAAAACTCCCTTTCATATATACATCTACCGCATTAGTTCCACCCCTCTAGAGAACCCTAACACAAGGGGCAGTAACATATCCACGGAGCTGTCATCTCCTATGATAACAATGCCTTCTTCAGGAATACCTCCTGAAGGACCTGCCTGAGACTGCTAACTTTTTTTTTTTTTTTTAATAAGTAGAAGCGGCCGGGCGCAGTGGCTCATGCCTGTAATCCCAGCACTTTGGGAGGCTGACGCGGGTGGATCATGAGGTCAGGAGATCGAGACCATCCTGGCTAACGTGGTGAAACCCCATCTCTACTAAAAAAAAAAAAATACAAAAAAAAATTAGCCGGGCGTGGTGGTGGGTGTCTGTAGTCCCAGCTACTCAGGAGGCTGAAGCAGGAGAATGGCGTGAACCCGGGAGGCGGAGCTTGCAGTGAGTTGAGATCGTGCCCCTGCACTCCAGCCTGGGCGACAGAGCGTGACTCCGTCTCAAAAAAAAAAAAAAAAAAGAAGCACACTCTATCTAAAATAATAAAAAGTACAGTAAATACCAGTAACATAGTCATTTGTTATTATCAAGCATTATGGACTGTACTAATGGCATGTGCTATACTTTTATACAGCTGGCATCACAGTAGGTTTGTTCACACCAGTAACACCACAAACACGAGTCATGTGTCATGCTGCAGTGTCACTAGGTGATAGAAATTTTTCAGCTCCATTACAACCTTATGAGATCACCGTCGTATATGCAGTCTGTGATAACTGAAACGTCATTATGCAGCATGTAACTACACTATGAATACACGCATCTCTGCCAAAAGAGAAAATCATTTCTTGTTTGGGAACATGACAGTGTGGTGGAGCATTACAGACTCAAACAAACTAGGGTTTGAGTTCTGGCTTACCACCCATGAACTTCCTTGGACAAGTTACTCAACTCCTGACCTGGATTCTTCTCTTCTATTAACTGAGAATAATGATATTTTTGGAACAGGGTTCCTGGAGACTGAAAGATATAACGCATGAAAAAATCAAGCACTCATTTGGCATTTATCCTTGCTCCCCTTCCATTTCCTTTTCTGAGCAGTGATTTCAAGTCCTCTGGCCACCCTAAATCTGAAGATATGTCTCACCTCATCACTGGGCCTTTCTAGGGAAGAGAATCCCATGCTTTAGTTAATGGAAGAATGACAGCATTTTAGAACCTTTACAGGCCAACTCGGAGAGGCGGTCATTTCACAGAAACCAAGAAAAGCTGCTACCTCAAGGCCTGAAACTCATCTTTGGTGATGACCTATGGCTACTGCTTCAGGGCAGGGCAGTTCCATGCCAGACAAGGTGGTAGAACCTCCACATGCTACAGGCACTGTGATAAGATGCAAGCGGTGCCATGGGCACTTTTCATATACAGTCTTATGTAATCCTCTGTGATCCTGAGGCACAGGCAAGTATCTCCCACACAGAAGTCATGGGGTGGGATTTCCGGCCTACATTGTCTGATTCCAGAGCTCATGCTCTTAATCACATGTCCACTCACATGAAGATGTCTACATCTGTGGCTCTCCTTCAAGAAGGCCAGTTAATGGTCAAGGGGCAGGCTCTGAAGGAGCCTGAAGGAAACTGGTAAGGCCTTATCAGTCAGTCAATATTATTACATTTACTCTACCAAATCAACTCAGAAAAAAATGCTGTTTTCACACAGGGTCTTCTGTGATGATATCTTACAGAAATCCTCGGCCTGCTAATAGCCGCTGACAATAATGTCTTCATTCATTGTAATTTTATGTCACTTGACTGATCTGTAGCTTAGGAAGCTCACAGCTTATTTAAGCAACAGGTGGGCGAGGGAAGGATGAGAATCCAAGTACCTTAGAAGTGTATAGAAAGGCAGCCACAGGGAAATCATTCTGAGAGTTAAAATAGTCCAAGAAACCCCTCATTAATTATTAATTGACATCCCCTGAGGATTCAGGTTCTTAAGTCCCAGTTTTGTACAATCCCCAGGATGGGAGCTGCCTGCTCCAATGTGTGTCCTTAAACCCATACAAAAGGTGCACCATGAAGCCGTCCTGTAAACCAGAACAATCTATGGAGCAGTTCTAGAAACAGCGCAGCTCAGCAGGCTGTCCTGGGTGCAACTGTTTCCTGAGAGCAGAGACAAACTGTGTCAGAAAGGAAGAGCTGGAGGATGACAACAGGAGGCCGTGCTGATTGAAGCCTGTGGAAGAGATTGTAGCACCCTTTCCTTGTTGAGCAGGTTGTGAGAAGTCACGTGAAGCTCTCCATGAGACCGCTGAGATGACAACACAGGGAAGATACCTTTCGAAGGGGGCAAAACAGTGATATGCCAGAGGCCCCAAATTTAACATGGAATCACAACACTGAAGGGTAAAAAATGACTTCACAGATCTGATTAAAGTTTGAAAGTTGGAGAGTTCTCACAACAGCAGCATGGTTGAAAAGGGGGCATGATCCTGTACTCTTTTTATCCAGTGACATATGTGAGAGAAATGAAAAGTAGGATTCTAATTTGATTGATTTCTCTTCCCCCAGCTCTGGAGCACGTGGCGCTGTGTGGTGCTAACGCACTGGCTCCGGAATGCCTGTCTGGGAGTCCTCTACCCCGCAGCCCTTCACTGGCAGAGCTGCGCCTGCCACTCACCTGCGCCCCGCGGTCGTTGACCAGCTCCACAGACCACCTGCCCTCGTACTGAATCCACACGAATATGCCTCCGTCCGCATCGCACGTGGCCAGTTTCTGGTAGGGCTCATTCCACCTCACCAGCACAACCTAGAAAACCACCAAGAAGACATTTACCACAGGAAATAAATCTGTGGGCCAGGATTATTTCTGTGATGTGATCAGACTTGAACTAATTAGAATGCAGTCAATAAAGGGAGAAGACTGGGGGCGAATGCAGGGATCAGGGCAGGGAACAGACAGAGCTCACACGAGAGTCCACAGGGAACCAGCCCCACTGACACGGCTTCCTAACAATGAGAGACAGTGCGAACATGCCCACTACTACAAAAACAAAGAGGCGACCTGGGGCCCATCCGCACCCAGCACCTGCCTCTCAGATGGTCCTTCATCTGCTAGTCCTGTGCTGTGGGGAAACTATTTTAACAACATTTACTATGGATTTGAATCAGGGTATTATTTATTTAGTATGGAAAGAGGAAAGGGTGAGTACTATTTAGGTTCATTTTCCTCCAGAAGCAAAATTTTCCGTATCTAACTTATTTCTGAATAGTTTAGCATCTAAATCATCTAAATGTGGTTAATTTGGAAAAAAAAATACATACTTGAAAAATCTAAGTTGTTTACGATTTATCACAGAGGAAATAACAAGAAATTATAAGCTTCAAATTTTCTGAGTATAAGAACTTTGTTTTTTAATTTGAAAAATTCTGATCACTTATCTAAAAAGGTAGCAACTCGGCTAGGTGGCTTTTGAGAATAGGTGAGTGCCGGAGGAGTCTGAGGGAAGCCTCACAGGGCCCAGTAAAAGTAGCGAGGGACTGAGGGTTATGGAATGGTCCCCGGACACCATGAGCCACCAAACCAACACGGCAGGGCTCACCCTGGAGAATGTTCCCTGAGGCTGTTCCTGATTGGCCCATCCTGGTAATCATGAATTAATTCAGTCTGACACATTCAGCACACATTTTTTACATTCATGCTATGTGACTAATACTGAGTTGGTGGCTATGAAACACACCTGTTGTTCTCAGGTAAGTTCCAGCTGGGAAGTCAGAACCTCCAGACATGCAGCTAGATACTGACATATATCAATAAAATAAGAGCTATTACTAACCAGGCAAGAGTACTCTTGCTATGAATAAAAGAAGATTTGAACCCTTGTCTACTCCCAGCATTTTGTGCCTAATAGCTAATTATAATAGTTGTGAACATGTGGCACTGGTGTTAATGGTTTCCAAATTCTAATTTATATCTGAAAATAAAAAGGACTGATAGTTAAAGACTTCCACAGTGCCCAGGACCCTCCTCACACCCTCTGTCCAAAGTACAATTTCTGCTTTCAGACCAACACATAAACCCCGGGACTTCTCAAAGCGATGCCATGGACACACCTGATTTTAGGTCTTTAAACTTGTGTCTAGGGCACCAGAGGGCTAGGAGGAACCCCCAGGAATCACCTGATTTAGTGTGCCTTGAGCAGCCTTGGTTGGCCACACTTGGTGTTATCTGCACTTGTTGTAAAATGTATAATAAAATCAAATTTTTCAAGAGAAATTATTACCCACTTAAAGTGTGAAGAATATCATAGCTCTTTTTTAAAACTGCAAAAATCAGAGGCAGCTGTGAGGTTGCAATCTTTTGAGACCTGGTGATCACTAGAAAAACTGAATCCAGTTGATGGCTCACCTTGCATGGATGTGGACACTGAGAACTCCCAGGTGGCCCCATCTAGCGGAATCCTCTCTGTTGAGACCCTCTTCCTTGCTCTAGTCATAGCTCTGTGGATGCAGTGCTTACAGAACTATCAGCTTGTGAACACCACCCACCCCCCACAGGTCTGTGCTGCTTGAGGAAAAGGACAGAGGCATGTTCACCTTTGAATACTGACACACAGCAATTATGAATATATTGTGCAAACAATAATATATCATTAGAAGTTGTAATCCTTGTTAACTTATATCTTTGAACTATATAGAAGGTATTGGAAACTATTTCAAGTAGTTTACTTTTTTTTTTTTTTTTTTTCACTTTTACCTAAGTTGGCCTCGACCGCATAGCCTCGCCTCCTTGTACGCCAGGACAACCGGCTGGAGCCACCGCAGCTCCCTCAAGTAGTTTACTTTCAATTCCCAAAGGCATTTGAACAACAGCATATACTGCCTGCCTGCCTATGATAAACCAGACATTGTTAGGTGCCAAGGACCGCGATTAGGACATCTTGTCTCCCTGGAGTTCAGTTTCCTAAACAGACATTAATACAGTCCTTTGTACACAGACAAAGGAGGGGGCTCAACTCATGTGGGGAGCAGGGCAACAAACCCAGATTCATTTTTTTAGCTTAGTTTAAAAAATCCTGTATTAGAATTACTGATTTTTTTTTAAGTTAGACCAACATCAACAAAAGTCCTTAAATGACATTGAACATGTCATAAAATTTAGGATTTCCAAATGGTAAATAAAAGCCCACTTCACAGACATCTTTCAGATCTGCCAATGATTTGACCCAAGCACTAGAATCCACAAATGTGCATGTGGCTACAATTTGGTCCCTAACACATTAGTTATTTAAGCCCATAGTCACTCATGTACTTCAGAATGGCCACTGTGGAATAGAACATGACAAATTAAGAACACGATGTTCATGACTGATCAGTTTTTAAATTATTTCCTTATTTAAATGTAATACCAATGAATACTCATCCACTATGACTCTCTCTGTAAAATAATACTTGATGACAAGATGTCATACTCCAGAGGAGAGAGGCTAGCCACATTTACATTTTTGCCTTTAATATCCATCAAAAACAAACCTCTCCATGAAAAAGGCTGCACAGTCACAGCATGACACAAACACAAAAGAGTGGAGGCAAAACATATTTTTAAATGATTTCTAATGTGAAATTGAAGATTTTTTGGTCTTATGACAACACAGTTGCCATTGTTGGATAAACGAAATGTTCACAGACTCAATTTCATCTTTTAGAAATTCTTAATCAGTGGCCAGGTGCGGTGGCTCACGCCTGTAATCCCAGCACTTTGGGAGGCAGAGGAGGGCAGATGACGAGGTCAGGAGATTGAGATCATCCTGGCTAACACGGTGAAACCCCGTCTCTACTAAAAATACAAAAACTAGCTGGGCGTGGTGGCGGGCACCTGTAGTCCCAGCTACTCGGGAGGCTGAGGCAGGAGAATGGCATCAACCCGGGAGGCGGAGCTTGCAGTGAGCCGAGATCATGCCACTGCACTCCAGCCTGGGCGACAGAGCAAGACTCCACCTCTAAAAAAAAAAAAGATTCTTAATCAGTTGAGATGCAGCAGTACATGGAAACATAGTCCCATTTACATACTTTGCTAAGAGTTCCAACTAGTATAAACGAAAAGGTGAGTAACACCCTTAAATTAGAGACAGAAATCTTTCCAGTGATTTTTGGTTTAAAAATAAAGCCAAACTGCTAATGCTGTTATTCTCATTTCCTCCCCTGTCTATAATTCACAGCTGCAGCCTTATCTCCCAGTAGCTTACTTCCTGTTCTCTAAATCCTTCCAGCCTATTTGGCAATGTTAGGACACACCAGAATGTTGAGGAATTACCAGCTGGGGGCCAGCTGGGTTCTCAGTTGCCCGAATTTTGTGCTATGGGGCCATGGATCTGCGCAGTTATCCAGGTATAGAGCTTCCCTTCCCTTTTCAAGGAGAATGTGACTCTCGTTGACTCTCAGCACCAAAGAACTTCTGTCTTGGGGTATTAGCTAAAGTGTATGTTCTTTGACTAAGAAGTCAGAGGAAAGGGTTAGTTTTGACCTAGGCCTTTGATGGTTCAAAAAGATACCAACCTATTACCCTCTCCAATATAAGACATGTTCTCTCATTTTAGAGTGTTACTATTATCAGTGAAGTTATTAAAGGCAGGAAAATCTACACAAAAAAACATAGGGCAGAACTGCAGAAAGCCTACATTTGGGCCATAATCTAAGGCCCTAAGTCAGTCACATCACTTCTTACACCTAGAACTACTTTTAGGGAAGGCAAAACAAGCATCACTTTGCCCATCCCAAGGACGTTCATCTTCTGAGTCAGGAGCCCTCCAAAGGGTGTTGATAGATTTACACAAGAAGCCATCTCAGGGAACAACCAATGTCATCACTATTCAGAAGGATTTCTCTCAACCTAAAACAAATGTAATTTGAATGAACACTAAATACACACAGCTCAAGGAAGAAATCCCTGTGATTATCACCACTCTGTTCTTCTTATTCTGCAATTTATTAAGTGAACCAGCAACAACTACAATTGTGCAAGAAAAACAAAGTGATTGCCAATTTAATTGTAGACACATGTGGTCATTTTAACGAACCAAAAGCACCCTGAAAAGGAGGCTGGAAGAAATTCAACTAGAACAATGGTTCTGCAGACTGCTGCCCCCAGAGATGTCACCGGGAGGTCAGTGGTGAGGAAGGCGGGCTCTGGAGTCTGGCTGCCTGGCTCTGACTCCGGGCCTCGTCATTCACTCACCAGCTGCACAGCTGTGGCCACCAGGACCCTCTTGCTGCCCCTTTCCTCGTCTGCTTGACGCAAGCCATGGTAGCACACCCCTCACGGAGTTGTGAGGAGTATCTTAAGAAAGGACCTCAGACCGGGGCCAGGCACACCGCAAACATTCAGCAAATGAGAGCTCTGTGTTATTAATTCACAAACTCAAAACTCCAGAAGATAAAGACTGCTTCAGCACAGTATTTACATATACAGTTTCCTCTTTAATAAAAGATAAATGTTTTGAAAGGTAATCTCCCTTTCCAGACCTGTCTCCCACCACTTGCACCCCTTACCCAACTCTGTAACTTAAAAAGCAACATCACCACATGCTTCGTGCCACCCTTGGCCAGGAACACCCTTCTGCCCCTTGCCGCCTGGTGAGTAAAGCCTTCCCTGAAGTTCCAAGCACTCCCGCTTGCTCTGCGTGCAGCACCTTCTGCACAGTCCCGGCCCATACGGTACACTGCGCTCCGTCACACAAATGTTCCACACCAGACTGAGAACTTTGTAGCTTTTGTTCTATTAAACTATTCTTGAAAGATGATTAACCGTTATCTGTTCCCTCTCTCTCTCTCAAGAGTAAGATGTTAAAACTGATTCAAATGATAAGGGGTTGGATAACAGCTTTATTGGGACAAAATTCACATATGTAATTCACCCATTGTCAGTGTACAATGCAATGGTTATTAGTATATTCACAGAGTTGTACAACCTTTACAATATGTTTTAGAACATCTACCTCAACCCTCAAAGCCCTGTACTTTTTAGCTACCACCAACCAACCCCACAATATTTCCCTCCAGCCCTAAGCAACCAATTCTCTGTTGTTACAGATTTGCCTACTCTGGACATTTCATATAAAAGGAATCATACGATATGTTCTCTTTTGTGACCGGCTTCCTTCTCTTAGCATGTTTTCAGGGTTTATCCATGTTGTACCATGTATCAGTGTTTACCTTTTAAATATAGCCCAGTAACATTCCATTGTATTGAGAGACCACATTTTGTTGATCTGTTCATCAACTTTTAGCTATTATGAATACTGCTATGAACTTTTGTGTGCAAGTTTTTTTTTTGTATAAACATGTTTCATTTTTCTTGGGTCTATACCTAGGAGTGGAGTTGCTGGGTCAAATGATAATTCTATGTTCAACTTTTTGAGGAACTACAGGACTGGTTTCCAAAATGATGCACCAACTTACATCCCCACTAGCAATGGCTGAGGTTCCCAGTTTCTCCAAATTCTAATACTTGCTATTGCCTGTCTTCTAAAAAATGACAGCCACCCTGGTGAGTGTGCAGCAGTTTGATTTGTGTTTCCCTGATGGTTAATGATGCGGAGCATCTTCTCATGTGCTTGGTGGCCATTTGTGTGTTTTTTGAGAAATGTCTATTCAGATTCTTTGCCCATTTTTAGTTGGGTAGTCTTTACTATTACTGAGTTTCTCTTAAGCCCTCTGAAACACTAACTACATGTGAAGAAAACTTTAGATTTTACTTTCAGATAGCCAAATTTATTTCTGTCATTTGAATGTTCACAAATCCAGTTCTCATTCAAACACAATTCAGTTAATCTCAGTTGGTTGGCAAGAATCTGTGAATGAAATGGCCTAGAGATAATACAGGAACTCAGAAAACAGATCTGTGGTCAAAGCCCTGGAATCTGGGGACCGCCGTGCCTCTAACCAGTTCTGAACCTGCATGTGCTGGGGGGTGACCTTCTAGTCCCAGCTTCCTTAGGACATGTACCAGGAAACACAGTTACACATTCCTTCCTGTATTTTCCAAACTTTTTTGTCAGAAAATAATATATCTTCTTATTGGATAGAGTTTATATTATTAGCCAGGCCTGAATTAGGAAAAAGTGAACTCCACACCAAATCTGATATGAATGCGAAACTACCATTCCATGCTTCTCATCTATTAAGTGGCAGCAAGATTCTTCCATTAAAGCAAGATAAAACAATGCTGAAGAGCTACATTATAATTACGGTCTGGAGGAAACCCAACAGTTAATACTTTCATCTTTTGACCATATTCAGGCATTCATCTGCCTCAAAATCCTGTGGAATAGTACCCCCTATGACTCTAACTTCTATTCTTTTCCACTCATCATAGCTGCAAACTCCTGAGTAAAAATTCTACTGGAAAGTATGTTCAATCACATGCACTATTCATTGAGGTTGCAAATCACTTTGAAAACTTGTGAAATTCACATTTTTCCTCATCACTTCTTTTCACTCACTCTCAACTAAATACCCTTGGTGTATCTAGTAGTTATTAGTATTAATAGTTAATTTAGAGCTAAAACAGACATCTGTTTAGCTCTAAACATAAATGTTTAGTGCTCTGGCTCACAGATGAGGAAAGGTAGGCTAATGAGGTGAATAAGCTTTCCTAAGGTCACAAAGCAAGTTCAAGGTTAGGTCAGGGTCCAAGAGGCTCTGTCTTCTCTCTCTTGTTCAGAGCACCTGTTAACCAAGCTGTCACCTGTGGCCGTCAATCACTCAGCCAATGAGTATTCAGGAAGCACCAAACAGGTGCATTCAGGGAGGACACAAAGAGGGGAGAGACGCCTGCCCAAGGAGCACCTGGTGGAACACTCAGAGGAGCCACTTCATTCTTTGCTTTTTAAGCATGTGTTCTTGCTGTCATACTTCTACAATGCAAAAATGTCCTAGAAAACAACTGTATCAATTAGTTCTGGTTCTGAGGAAAGAAAATAAAATCACACTAAAGAGAAATAAACTAAGACGTTCCTGGTGGTGTGTGTTGGGAGACGCCGAGGCAAGGCTTGTACGTCTGACATAATGTAAAAGATTCTTGGAACATGTCCGGGATCCAGGGTCTAAAACTCCTTGTGGCCTTTGGAACGCCAAGCTCTGTGCTAAAGGGTGGAAGGCTACCCTGACGCACCATAATCTCAGCCCAGGGCATAAAAACCCCTTGTGGCTTGGATAGAATCCAGGGCTCGTGGCTCTGGAATGTGTCTAGACTTGCTGGCTCCTTGCTCCTTGCTCCTTGCTCTCCCAGGATCGATTGTATCTTGAGTTAAAAGAACCTGCTCTCCATTATCTCAAGTAGCAGAGCATATGCTAAACCGTCACAGCTGTAAATCATGTGCTTAATGCAACGGTGCCCTTTTGACCCCCACATTCTCAACACCTGTTTGATCACCAATAAATAGTCTGGGCTCCCAGAGCTCGGGGCCTTCGCAGCCTCTACACACTAGCGATGGCCCCCTGGACCCACTTTCTCTCTCAAACTGTCTTTTCTAATTCCTTTGACTCCGCTGGACTTCGTCACCCCCACGACCTGGTGTTGGGTCTGATCACCCCAACAGGTGTGTTATAAATGATTTTTAAACTTTTCCTTATTTTCTGATTTTCCCACAATGACCATATTTTACTTCCATCTTCTCATACGTCTGAAAAAACTATCTTGTTAGACAGTGAATTTAAACAATGTATTTCAGCAACAATAAGTTTAAGTCATTTTTACATACATTATTTTACATAGCTTATTTTAGCTCCACAAACATCTTAGAAGGAGGTACTGCCATGACTATTACCTTGTTTCAGGTAAGTGAAGCTGAAAGAAGGTTAAACTCTCTCCATAGACTTTTTTTTTAACTTAAAAATCTTAGGCAATATTTATGACATATATAACAGTTTAAAGAAAAATTTACTATGAAATGTTCTCATTCGGCTTAAAATATCACCAGTACTATCCAGAGCCCTCTGTATTCCTCTCAGACCTCAATCTTTTCTTGTCTGAGGAAAAAAATGACCTTATGGATATTTCATGTTTTTAATTCACAGGCATTTTTTTTTTTTTTTTTTTTGAGACAGAGTCTCCTCTGTCGCTCAGGCTGGAGTGCAGTGGTGCAATCTCGGCTTGCTGCAACCTCCACCTCCTGGATTCAAGCAATTCTCCTGCCTCAGCCTCCTGAGTAGCTGGGATTACAGGCGTGCACCACCACGCCTGGCTAATTTTTGAATTTTTAGTAGAGACGGGGTTTCACCATGTTGGTCAGGCTGGTCTCAAACTCGTGACCTTGTGATCCACCCGCCTTGGCCTCCCAAAGTGCTGGGATTACAGGCCTGAGCCACCGCACCTGGCCAATTCACAGGCATTTTTATACCTTAATTATACATGTACATATCCTCAATACATTATTCTTAAGGGTTTTATTTTATATGTTACAGAAAAAATGTAACATACACCAAAGAGATCCCTGGCCTAACATCTTCCAAGCATCTCCATGGAACACTTCAAACCTAAGAAGCAGGTATGGTTAGAAACTATCACTCAATACTTATGAAAGGGCTATGGAACTTTCTACCATCTTTCTGCAGAAGTCAGGATCTTTTAACACCACAGGAGATGCTGCTAGGAAGAAAAATCTAAATGAAAGCTGATCTGTATTGCAGTAGACATTCTGGTCTTCAAGGACATCCAATATCCTAAAAGTACAATGAACTCACCATAAGAA